>NC_000001.11:241638667-241790182 GCF_000001405.40 Homo sapiens
GAAATTATCAGATTAAAGCTTATGAGGGGCGGGGAGGAAAATATTATAACCTCTGAAGCAATCAAATAAAATCTATTTTCTTATTTCCTTCAAAACGCCAAAAAATGAATCATTACAAATATAATATTTGGGTTTGTCATAGCATAGAGGTTACTGAATAAGAAAATATTTTTGATAATTCTACAAAGATTTTTGTTCTCCCAAACCTACCAAGATTAAAGCAATAAAGTATCAATGGATTTCAGGATTTAAAAAAGGAACTTTAAGCCTTGAGAAATACACATTTCTATTTCAAATCTCCCTACAAATGAAATTCCTGAGGCACACAAAAAAATAATTTCCTTTCTACGCTTCCTTCAATGATTTGCTGAGTTGTTGATCATCCTTCAAAACATCATGTCTCAGTGAAACTTAAATCTTCCATAATAAGAGTACTGTCGAAATACATCTTCAACAATGAAGTTCTACTTTAATGAAATCTACCGATTGCAGAGCTAATTACAGTATTTGTTCACCTGAGATGGTATTGGCTGAGCCATTTGTAATCTCACCCAAGATTCTGGTGTGCTGGAACCCATCTATAAGACGGAAAATAGTAAAAACAGCTTACAGGGCACATGCCAATTTGCATTCTGAGGACCTGAATGAAACTGTCTCATTCCCTAGAAAGCATTCAAAGGTTTACAAGTACTAATGAGAATTTTTTTTTACACATTGTTATTTTGGTTTTCTACTCTCATTTTAGGAAACAAATAGTAGTACATGAATCTAATCTCATCACTCCCTCCAACTTTCACGAGTTAATCACTTTTTTTCTTGAATCTCTTGACTCTACAGGCCCTCGTCTCTTTCCTCAAAGTGTAAAAAGCCGTGGTTTCGTGCCTTGTTGAGTGATCTTAGGAGGTAAAAACAAATAAGAAAGGAGGCGGGCCGGGGTTTGGGGTCAACGTGGGGGGCAGATGAGAGACCACAGGAATGGAGTCCTGGACAGCGTGGGGCGGGAGGGGACGGAGGAAGAGGAAGGCACCCGCCATGCGGCTGGGGTCGGGCAGCGTTGAGGAGGCGAGCGGGGAGCGGGGCGGTGTAGGGCGGGGGGCGCGGGGCCGAGCGGGAAGCGGTGCGGGGCGGGCTGGGGGGCGGACGCACGGAGCGGGCAGCGGGGTGGGGAGTGGAAGTTTGCAGAGGGGAGGCTGCCTTCTCCCAGTCCAACTCACCGAAGAGGCTGCCGCTAAACCCGTCCCACACGCAGCCCACGGTGTCCCACACCCAGCCGTTCCTCAGGCAGGACACGAAGGTAAAGGTGACCCCGAAGAGGGACACCAGCAGGTCGCTGAGGCTGATGTTGACCAGGAGGAGGTGAGTGGGAGTGCGGAGCCGCTGGAACTTGTAGTAGAGGACGAGCACCAGCAGGTTGTTGCCGACGCCCAGCAGCCCAATGGAGCCCAGCAGCAGCGCCAGGCGCTCGTAGGTGCCGGGGCTGAAGAGGGGCGCGGGGCTCAGTGTCCCCGCCGGCGCCGGCCCCTCAGCGCCCGCGGCCCCGCCGCCGTCCCAGTAGCCGTGGCCGCCGCTGCGGTTCCCCGAGTACATGGCCCGGCGCCGGCGCGCCTGGCGGGCGGAGGCGCTCAGCTTGCGGCGGGGCTCGCGGCGCGCTCCGCACTGGGTGGGGTTGGGGCTCCGCCGCCTGCTCTAGCCATTGTGCACTGAGGGGCCCGCGCTACCGCGCGCCGGGCCCGCCCTCTTCCCGCCCCTTCCGCCCGGCGCACCCCCCGTGGCCCCGCCCCTCCCCGCGGCCTGTCCTCGTCGCTCCGCTGCTCCCGGCGCGTCCTCTTAGCCCCGCCCCCCCGCGGGCGCGTCCTCGCGGCTAGCTCGCCCCGCCCCCACTGGCTGGGCACCTTCCGCTGGTCGGCGTGGACGCGCGTCGCGGGATAGCCTGGGGGCCAGGGCCGCAGGGTAGCCTCGATGGCTCTTCACACCCCCACCTCCCTGCACCCACCTTGAAAGCTTCGTGTCCACTCACCCATTCATGCACTCACTTATACATTCATTTATTCCTAAGTATTTATGAGCGCCTGCGCCCACCACGTGCTGGCAAGAATTGGGTTTCTCCCCTTCCTGGGAAGCTGTAATAACCCACAACCAGCCTACGAAGCCCATCCCGCGTCATACACTCAATGTAAACAAAAGCAAAGAAAACATTGAAGAGCTCGGGGTAGTCTTACCGGAAAACTGAGAAGAAAAACAACAAATTGATAGACAGGTGCCTGCCTAACTACCTGACTGCTAGAGGACACATGTCCCAGGGCTGATACAAGAGCCTGCCACCCTTGGAGAGTCTGGGATGAAAACTCTCTGAAAATGGCATTCCAATGGAACTGACTTTAAGCCCTGGGCTGGACCCCAAGGCCTTCCAATACCGTCCTTCCTGTGCTTGAAAGCGTGGGTAGATCTTTCCGGTCACTGAGGCCTGCTAAAGTCCTTCACAGGCAGTGAAAGATTCAACCTAAATCTAGCAGGTATAGGAGGCAGGTGCTATATTTAGAACAGCACACATTTCCCATTGGGCCTCTTCTCCTGTAGTGATGAGAATATAGTACAAGTCAAATATAGGTTGTGAACGTCATCACACTCTGCAAGAGCTGCTTCTGCCTTTGTGGTTGCACAATCCCTAAGGAGGCCCTACAAGAAGATCACAGTCCCCAGCCACACCTGCAGCCTGTCCTGGACACTGGTGACGAACACAGGGTTTGTGCAAGCTAAAGAAACTGCTCTCCATACGGGCGTGCCTCACCTCTGTTTGAAAGATCAGTAGGGAATGACTAGCTTGGATCAATCCACATTCTGAATTCCCTGGAGAGAGGATCTAATAGGCTGGCAGCAGCTCTCCACCCTGGTGCACTGAGCAATAGCTAAGGGGCAGTGTGCTCTGCCTTTGACACCTTGATTTTCCTTCAAGGCTTCTGCTCTGGACTCGCCATCTGTGAGACTTCCTACCCACCCACCCCTTAAAAAACACACACACACTTTTAATTGTTAATTTTAGATTTGTACAACCACTGAACAAAACATAACTATTTAACAAGTTCTATATGTTTAATGTCGAAAGTGTTTTCTGTGTCTAGTCTACAGTAAGTTCTCAATAAATAGTAATTTGAATGAATGAATAAAGAACTCGCTATATTTTTTCCTATTCATTCTTCATTGCTGAGTCATTGCCCTTATAAAGCTCACATTCCAGTCGTGTTGGGAGAACAAACAAAAATTAGATAAATACGTAGGGTGTCAGCCACTGACAAATGCCATGAAGAAATAGGGGTCAGGCGTGGTGGCTCATTCCTGTAACCCCAGCACTTTGGGAGGCCGAGGCAGTAGGATTTCTTAAGCCCAGGAGTTCAAGACCAGCCTGGGCAACAAAGTGAGAACTGCCCCCTAACTCTTCAAAAAATAGAAAATTAGCCAGGCAAGATGGTACATGTCTGTGGTCCCAGCTACTCAGGAGGTTGAGCCAGGAGCTATGGGAGATGGGGCAAGGAGTTTGTAAGAGTTAAAGAAAGAGGAAAGAAACACTAATAGCAGCTCAACAGTCAGACAGTGTTATTTGGAAGAATAAACCTAAGAGGGGCTTCTGGCCGATTTCGGTCAGGAGCACTCTCTTACAGACTAAGAGTATTTAAGGATTTTAGAGTGAGAGAGCTTATCACAGGCGTGGAATGTTTCTGTTTGGAGAAGAAGTTTATTGCCAAGTTGGAATGTCTCTGTCGGAGGGGAGGTTATCTCGGGGCTCGCATGTCTCTGGTCAGGGAGGGGTTTATCTTAGGGTTGGAATGTTTCTGGTCGGAGATGTCATTTGTGGTGTATGGTCATGCTGACCTTAGCCATTAGGCTGATGCTGTTTGGATTTAGGTGGTTTTTGATCAAGGGGAACTTTAAAATGGCAGTGCTTGTCCATGATGGTGATGCACCTGCTCTGTCAAGGTTGTTATTTAGACAAGGTGGTTATGGGCAGGAGTACTGTATTGGTATGTTGGAGGAACAATAAGGAAGCAAGAATGAGAATCGGGAAATGCAGCCAGTCAGGTGGGTGTGCAGTGAATGGCCAGAATATGCAGGACCTTGGCCATTTCAATAAAAGGACTTTGGCTTTTACTCAATCAGAGTAAAGTCCAGGGCAATGCCTACTAGCAGTGAATGCAAAGGAGGAGTAAGAGGCCTTTGACAAATGCTTAAGCATTTTTGACACAGTAATTTTACAATACTATGAACCATTAAGGACATTTATTGAGCTTGACAGAAACAGGCAATGATAAGGATATATGTTTCTTTTTTAATTTTAGAATTATGTAATGACAGGATAATGGCAGAACACTACAATCTTTTATTAAAAAAAAAAACAAAAAACAAACAAATGAAAAACACCAGCATGATATAGTTTGGATGTTTGTCCCCACCCAAATCTCATGTTGAAATATAATCCCCAATATTAGAGGTGGGTCCTAGTGGTAGGTGTTTTGGTCATAGGGGGCGGATCCCTCATGAATGGCCTGGGCCATCCCCTTTGTGATAAGTGAGCTCTGGTCATCTAAAAGTGTGTGGCAACTCCGCCATCCCACTCTCTCTCTCTCTCTCTCCCTATCTGGTTGTCGCCATGTGAGATGCCTGCTCTCACTTTGCCTTCCACCATGAGTAAAAGCTCCCTGAGGCCTCCCCAGAAGCTGAGTAGATGCCAACACCATGCTTCCTGTACAGCCTGCAGAACTGTGAGCCAATTAAATCGCTTTTCTTTATAAATTACCCAGTCTCAGGTATTTACAGCAGTGCAAGAACAGCCTAATACACAGCATAAGGACAAACATGTAGACCAATGGAATAGAATAGAGAGCCAAGATATAAACTCTTACATATATGGTCCATTGATTTTTGACAAGGATGCCAAGGCCATTCAATGGGGAAAGGAGGAAAGGACAGTCTTTTCAACAAATGATGCTGGGAAAACTGCATATCCATGTGCAAATGAATGAAGTTGGAGCCTTACATTATATCATATATAAAAATTAACTCAAAATTGATTGGAGACCTATATGTAAAAGCTAAAACTATAAAACTTTTAGAAGAAAACTTCTTGGGTATGACACCAAAAGCACAGGCAACAGGAGAAAAATAGCTAAATTGGACTTTATCAAAATTAAAAACTGTTATGCATCAAAGGGCACTATCAAAAGAGTGAAAAGACAGCACAGCAAATGGGAGAAATACTTGCAAGTCATATATCTGATAAGGCATCAATATTATAAAGACCCCCTACAACTCAACAACAAAAAACTCCACACAACCCAATTCAGAAATAGGCAAAGGATCTGAGTAGACATTACTCCAAAAATATACTAATGGCCTAAAAGCACATGGAAGGAAACTTACTGTGATTAGTCATTAGGGAAATGCAAATCAAAGCCACAATGACATACCACTTCACACCTACTAGAAGGGCTATCATCAAAAAACAAAACAAAACACAAAAACAAGTGTTGGTTTTTGTGTGGAGATGTGTAGAAATTAGAACCCTGTCGTACTGCTGATGGGAATGTGAAATGGTGTGGCTCCTGTGGAAGACAATTTGGTAGTTCCACAAAAAGTTAAACATAGAATTATTGTGAGCTCATTCCTGTAATCCCAGTGCTTTGGGAAGCTTAAGCAGGATGATCACTTGAGGCCAAGAGTACAATGACCAGCCTGGGCAACATAGTAAGACCCCATCTCTTCAGAAAAAAATAAAAAATTAGCTGGGTGTGGTGGCACATACCTGTAGTCTCACCCAACTATTCAGGAGGCTGAGGCAGAAGGATCCCTTGAGCCCAGGAGTTTGAGGTTGCAGTGAGCTGTGATCGTGTCACTGCGCTCCACCCTGGGCAAGAGAGTGAGACCCTGTCTCAAAACAAAAAAAATTGCCATATGATCTAGCAATCCTATTCCTAGGTATATACACAAAAGAATTGAAAGCAGGGACTCAAACAGGTATTTGTATACTTATGTTCATAATAGGATTATTCAAAATAGCCAAAAAATAGAAACAACTCAAATGCCCATCAACAGATGAATGATACATGGAATGTGATATATACATACAATGGAATATTATACAGCCATATTTTAAAAGAAATGAAATTCTAGTACATGCTACAACATGGATGAACCTTGAAAACATTACGATAAGGGAAATAAGCCAAACACAAAAGGACAAATATTATATGATCCCAATGATATGAGGTACCTATAACAGGCAAATTCACAGAGACAGAAAGTAGAATGGTGGTTACCAGAAGCTGAGAAGAGGGAAGAATAAGAAGTTAGTGTTTAATGGGTAGAGAGTTTCTGTTTAAGATGACGAAAAAATTCTGGAGACGAATAGTAGTAATGGTTGCACAAGATTGTAAATGTACACAATGCCACTGAATGGTATACTTAAAAATGGTTAGAAAGGAAAATTTTATGTTATGTATATTTTACCACTTTTTTTTTTAAAAAAAGAAAAAAGCATGTGCAAATTGTGCCTGCATTTCACTCTCTCAGAGTGGGAGAAATAAACTACTATAACCAGTTGAGGAAGCAAGCTGAACTCAGTATGCTGCAACCAAAAAGCAGCTTGTTCTCCCTACTCATTTCAAATGTTTTCTGACCATTTGCTCCTTCCTGCCCTTAGATGGAATTTTGGCAGCTTCCAAAGCTTTTCTGCTCCCTTGCAGTTGACATCAAGGCCAGCACATTGTAATGCTGAAAAGCTAAAACTCACGGAAAACTCGCTTGTCCACACCCTCCAAGATACAGCCAGCCTCAGGCCTGGAGAACTTCTGTGAGGGTGGAGGTGAGAAGGAAAACAACTTTAGCTTCCCCCATTTTCTTGATCCGCTCGCTACCTGTAGATGCTGCTCTGGGCCCCTTTGAGATTGTGAGGGAAAAAAAATCTTCCTTGATTGGTTAAGTTGTAGTCTGATATTGGTGCTCTCTGCCAGGCACGGTGGCTCACGCCTGTAATCCCAGCACTTTGGGAGGCCGAGATGGGCAGATCACTTGAGGTCAGGAGTTCGAGACCAGCCTGGCCAACATGGTGAAATCCTATCTCTACTAAAAATATGAAAATTAGCCAGGTGAGGTGGCATGCACCTGTAATCCCAGCTACTCAGGAGGCTGAGTCAGAAGAATCACTTGAACCCAGGAGACAGCAATCCAGCCTGGGCAACAGATTGCAACTTTGTCTTTTAAAAATAATTGATATTAGTGCTCTCTGGTTGTAGCAAGTTTTAAATGTTGGGTTTTTCTCTTCTAGGATGATTTTCAGGTTCTCTAGAGAAATTGAGATCTCTGGCATCTTTCTCACACAACTCTCTCGACAGAGGCAATGCCTTTAGTAGCTGTCTGCTGGGATCTCACTCTCTGACCCTGCTTGGGGACCCTCCCAAGCTGACCCAGTCTGGCCCCTCTACTGAGAGTCTAGCGTCTGTTCCTCTGTACATATGTATGCATCTTTTGCCCTGCCAAATTCTGGAAGTGGTCTGCTGCAGAGAGCTGGCCAGCCCCAGACTCTCCCTGTCAGTGCCCCTGGGATGGAAAGAAATGGGGAGATGTCATGGCTCCTCCATGCTGAACACTCTCTCTGTGGAAGTGCTCATTAAGGATATCCTTGAGCTCCTAATGAACTCGTTGCCTTCTCTTAAATAGTTTGAAGGTGAGCAGGAGCTAATGCTTGCGGAACTGGTTCCCAGTGACTGCACACATCCTCCCGCGTGGGCCGTCTAGCCTGTCCTTTAGACAGAAAGAGGTTCATTTAAAACCCTCTAAACACCCTCTTACATTGGAACATTAAATTATCACAATACCTATATTCCAAGGAAGTCCTTTGCAAAGTATAGGGGAGCGAGGAATGGAGACACGTTTCATTTGACATTCTTGTTTGGAAACTGATAACCCCTAGCCTTCTGCATCATAAGGGGACAACAGAGAGGGAACTTCCATCAAGCATTCCTTTTCCCAGGGTTGAGACACATTCTTCCCTGGCCCCTCTAACCTTGGTCTCTGGTGAGCAGCAGAAGAGCCCTTACTGAAAATCTTGTGAAACATGTATGCACTTTTCCTACCTTAGGAAATGCAATTTAGTGGATGTGCTTGAACTTTTTTTTAAAAAAAGGAGAATCTAGCATGCCTTAAGTTTCTGAATGTCAATGCTCCTGGTGCATACAGCTCCTCAGATGGGTGAGATGTAGGGATCAGCTTAATACATAAACTGTGTATCTGTCCACATCCACTCAACCCCCAAATACATACATTTGTTTTTAAAATAAAATCTCACTTGTTACATTGCTGTTAAAAAATGGAGTTTATGGCTGGGCACAGTGACTCATACCTGTAATCCCAGCACTTTGGGAGGCTGAGGCGGACGGATCACGAGGTCAGGAGATCGAGACCATCCTGGCTAACATGGTGAAACCCCGTCTCTACAGAAAAAATTAGCCGGGCGTGGTAGCAGGCACCTGTAGTCCCAGCTACTCAGGAGGCTGAGGCGGGAGAATGGCGTGAACCCAGGAGGTGGAGCTTGCAGTGAGCCGAGATCGCGCCACTGCACTCCAGCCTGGGTGACAGAGCAGGACTCCGTCTTAAAAAAAAAAAATGCAGTTTACATGACAGAGGAGGTAGGGAAGAGTAAACAATTTCCAGAAGAAACTGGTTAGTGAAGTTATGATTAATTTACATATATATATATATCTCCACACCAACACCCATTATAGTGGAAGTTTGGTACACTGGGGTCAAAGAGAACATTTATAAGTTTCCTGAGGGAGGAAGATTAAAACAAGCTATGGACAAAGCATCAGGGATCAGAATAGCTTATAATCAGCAACGGAAGCTGATCAGAATACAGTCCTTCTAACAGCAACACTAGAAGCAAAAAGACAATGGAGTAATATCTTCAAAATATTTAAAGAAAATAATTTCCAACCTAAAATTCTGTACCCAACCAAATATCAACAAAGTGCAAGGAAAGATCAGGATGTTTTCAGATATGCAACTATCAAAAACATATCTATCTTCCAGGCCCTATTTCTGAATATGAGTCACCAAAATGAGGGAATAAATCATGGTGAGGAAAGACATAGTATATAAGCTTGAGGATGAGGGAATTCTCAAAATGATGATGAAGGGGGATGGTAGCAGGACAGCCATGCCCCTGTGTGTATAAGGCATCAGTCCAGACTGCAGGGATATGACTCAAGAGACAGCCGTGTTGAGGAGTGTGGTCACCAAGATGGCTTCTGCTCTTGTGTCATCTTTTTATTCTGAAAATGTAAGGGTGAGCCTTGCCCAGATTCTTAACAGTACCTGGTCACCAAGGGCCATGTACTGTTGAAGCTCCTGCCTACCTCTTTGTCCCCTGCCATAGGCATTAGCTGAGTATACTCATTTCACCGCAAAGGAGTTCTTCATTGATTTATCCTGGAAACTGGAGTTGGCCATCATGAACCCAGAAGCAGAAAATCCAGAGCAACCTATTGCTCCAATAGCATTTCTGCCAGATGACTGGTACCAGGCCTACACAACAGACCAGCTGAGGACCCAACCATGGGCCTTGTGTCATGGTAGCACTCCTTCCTCATACGGGCCCTTATAACATTCATGGAAGCTGAAGCCAAACTAACTCACAGCAATTATTCCACCTGCTTTTTTCTAGAGTCTTTTTCTGACAGTGCCAATATCATTTCTTTGTTTACACAGCTAGGTGTGTGTTTGCCTCTGGCTCTTTAAAATGACTGCCTTTCATGGTCATTTATATGTAAAAAATAATAAAATAGCAAAATACTTCATTGAGAAAAATAGGTATTAAAGAAAAATATACACTTATGAAGGACATTAGAAACACAGGGACAGGTTTATGAAGTTGTACATTAAAATTTAAATAATGTGCATAGTTCTGTTGAAACTAAAATTATCAAAGTATGTGGTCTGGGCTTAGAAGGCAATTTTCTAAAATTAATAGTTTTGTAAGAGTGTAGGAACATGAGTGATTTTCAATGTTCTTTAAATCTGTGGCCACATCATTTCCGCAACCGAGAAAATATAAGCACAAATGCATCCGGTAGCTCTATAAATGACCATAATAGCTGTGACTTGCTCCTGCATATAACAGCAAAGATGTTCCCAAAAGCTTCTGCCATAATGTGCATTTATACCTACTATCAACACGTCTCCTCCTCCTACTCTGTTTAGCCCACCATTCCACTGAGGTAGGCTTTCTCAAGGTCACTAGCATCCACGTTCCAATGGTTAATTTTCAGTCCTCATCTTACGTAGGCCCTCAGCAGTACTTGGCAAGGTTGACTGCTCCTTCATACTTTAATGCTTATCCATAGATATTTCAGTATCTGGTTCTAAAATACAACATCACATAAATAACAGTGCTATGGTCCAAACGTTTATGTCCCCCCGAAATTCATATGTTGAAACCTAACTCCAAGGTGATGGTACTAAGAGTTGGAACCTTTCGGAGGTCATTAGGTCATGAGGGTTTCACCCCCATAAATGGGATTAGTGCCTTCATGACAGGGCTTGAGGGGACCTGTTTGTCCCTTCCACCATATGAGGACACCTAAAAGGCACCATCTATGAGGAACAGGCCCTCACTAGATACAGAATCTGCTGGAGCCTTGATTTTGGACTTCCCAGCCTTCAGAACTGGGAGAAATTTCTGTTGTTGATAAATTATCCAGTCCAAGGCATTTTGTTATAGCAGCAGGAATGGACTAAGACAAACAATATAACATAAAATATAATTATTAAATCTAAACAATGAACAATAATTTATTATTATCATCAAATATCTACTTGGCGTTCCAATTTCCAATTGTCTCATGTATTTTAAACTCTTTTTAAGTTTGGTTGTTGAGTCAAGATCTAAATACAGTCCACACACTGTGGTTGGATGGTGTTTCTTTAAAGTCCTTTTTAATCTATAGCTCCCCTCCTCCTTCCTTTTGTCTTCCTATGCAATTTCTTTATTGAATAAACTGGATTATCCATCCAGTGGCTCTTTCCTTTTCAAAACAGCTTTTCTTCTTGGCTTCTAGGATGATCCTTTCTCTTGGTTCTCCTTGTACCTCACTAGCCACTCCTATTTACTCAGTGGTTCTTCTTGATCACTCTGCCCTCCCAACACTGGCATGCTCAGGGTTTGATCCTCACCTTGCCTTCTTCTTTATCTGCATTGATTCCCAGGTGATCTCATCCAGCCTAATGGCTTTAAATACAATGCCGTCTGAATGCTGATGACTCCCAAGCTCTCCCCTGAACCCTGGATTCTTACGTCTGGTTATTCAACATCCACAATTGTTTATCTAATAGAATTCTCAAACTTAACATATCCTGAACTGAATCCTAATTTCCCCCACTCCCCACAATCTGCTCCTTCTATTGGATTCCTCCCTCCCAAACATAGGAAATTATAATTCCATCCTTTTGATTTCTTAGGGCCAGGATCCCTGGAGTTGTCCCTGATCCTTCTCTTGCTCTCATACCCCCATCTGATCTATTAGCACACCTGTCACATCTACCTTCACACAATCTGACCACTTCGCACAACCTCCGTCACTAGTGCCCTAATCTCAACCACTGTCATCTCTTACTTGCATTACTGAAATTTCCACTTAACTGCCTTCCCGGCTTCTACCCTCTCTCCCTTTCAGTTTATTCTCCGCAAAGCAGCTGGAATGATTCTTTTCAAATGCACGTCAGATCATGTCACTGTTCTGCTCAAAAACATCCCATCTCAGAGTAAAAGCCAAAGTCCTAAAACAGCCAATAAGATCCTACGTGATCTGGATGCCACCCCCTGACTCTCTTGCCTTCTCTCTCTACCTCTCTCTCTCATCCCACACCACCTCAGTCACACTGGCCTCTGTCGTTTCTCAGATATGTGAAGCACACACCAATCTCAGGACTTTACGCCTGCTGTCCCTAGAACATCCTTCTACCATTTATCCACATGACTTGCTACCTCACTTCTTTCAGGTTTCTGCCCAGAAATCTTTCTATTAATGGGGAATTCCCTGATCTCCCTACCTCTTTTACTTTGATTTTTACCCCCACCCTAATACACACAAAATTCCTCTCTCTTCGTAGCACAATTGCTCACTGATACATTATTTATTTGTTTGTCTGTCTTCTGCATTAGTCTATAAACTTGAGAAGCTATTTTATTCACTGCTGTATCCTTAGTGTCTAAAACAGCCTCTAGCATGAAGTGTGTATTCAGTAAATATTTCCTAGATGAATTAATGGTGAATGCATTAGAATTGTAGGAAGAGTGGTTCTCCAGACATCACTGTACAGTGGTTTGAAAGCTTTAAAGGAAAAAGGAGGAGAAACAAATGGGGTTGGGGGATTTTTCTTTAAATAAAATCTTACTGCGCTCTCCTAACAGATAGTTAGAGGTGGACACCAAGAAGACAGTACTGGAATTGGAGGTGCTCTGAAATGCCATCTGCTTCATCTCTGAATGCAAGTTCTTGAAGAATGTTTTAAAAGATGGACTACCAAGGGGTAGGAAATTTATCTAACTCACCTAAGCCATAGGAAGTTAACTAATTGTTGAGAAACATTAAACAACTTCTCCTTCCCATAAAAAGTTGAAAATTGGAAAACCGGAGTCAATAGCATTTGGACTAAGTCGGATTGGAGATTGCAATGACTGGGAAGGAGATGTGCAGAAAGGCCTCTTCTAATTCATCTGACCTCTTACCTTGAAAAGCTGTCCTCATAATCAGAAGCCACTCCTTCCTTATCCTTGGCTCACTTTATTATTTCAATCGAAGGACAATGCACAAAGGAAGAAGAGCATTTGTATTCCCTATGACCTCTAAAAATGTTTGTGGTAGAAATGACAGGTGCTGAAATACATTTCATCTTTAGAAGTTCGAATTTCCATATCCAGTACAGTGGCAAGAATAAGTGTGAATATTACTTTTTTTTTTTTTTGAGAGGAAGTCTCACTCTGTCACCCAGGTTGGAGTGCAGTGGTGTGATCTCAACTCACTGTAACCTCTGACTCCCAGGTTCAAGTGATTCTCTTGCCTCAGCCTCCTGAGTAGCTGAGATCACAGGTGCCCGCCACCACATCCAGCTAATTTTTGTATTTTTAGTAGAGACGGGGGTTTCACCATGTTGGCCAGGCTGGTCTTGAACTCCTGACCTCAGGTGGTCCACCCACCTCGGCCTCCCAAAGTGCTGGGATTACAAGAATGAGCCGCCGTGCCTGGCCAAACTTTACTTTCCGCGGTATTGTGAGGAAGGCAAAAGGTTTGAGGTGAGAAGAGATACACGAGGGAGAAAGTATTACCCAGTTTTCTTACTTGTTATTTACTCATTCCTTTTCCCTCTCAAGCAGTATACACAACACACACATGTGCACGCGCACACACACACACAGTCTGTGGGGAAAAAAATATCTCAATCTCCTCCTTATGAAGGAAGTAGGATGTTACAGAGATATTATGATGCAATGAGGACCCTATGAAGGACACTGATGACATTGTGAGGTCAGGATTTTTACTGAAATGTTTGTCTGTATGAAATGCATCAGACCTAAATCAGCTTTCCTCCCTGCTAACATCCTAGTGGCAACTCTTACTCCTACCCGCACTATGGGATTTTAAGATCAAAGGAATTAGACCTAGGGCAAAAACTGAGACAGCAGGGAGGCACTGTAACAACTGGAAAGTTTTCCAAATTGGTAAACTTGCAGTATTCTTTCTGTACAGAAGTAAAAGATCCCCTATGTCCCTATGGATATCAGGAAGGAAAAGCGTCTCAACATGGCACTTCAGATGAGCAATTTCAAAAAGGCTTTGAACAGGTTTGAAAAATTGGTTGAACAAACAGCAGCCCAGAAAAGAGATGAAAGAGCAGGCTTATTTATCCATAAAGAAGGTAAGATCAGTGATTACACGATAGTCCAATTGGGTCTGTTGGTTAGAACTGGAAAATGTTTTAAGCCATCAGAGAGAAGCATCAGAGCTTAATGTGAAAGAATGGGTGCTGAAAGGGGATGAAGACCTCAGTTCTTGTTCTTTCTCTGTCCCTAAATAACAAAGCGGACATGAGGAAGCTTTTGTTTTGTTTTGTTTTTGTTTTTGTTTTTTTTTTTTACTTCTCTGAACCGAAGTTGCTTCAATTGTAAAACTATGGGATTGGATTAAATGACGTCCAGTGTTCTTCTGTAGACGCTGCCATTTGATGGCTCACTGGTTGACCTGGGATGCTCAGTAATGTATAGCACTGCTTTTTCTTAGCCTAAAGATATCATGAGACCATAAAGACTTTCATAAGAAGTGCAGCTTCCTGCCTCACCATGATTCCATTGTCTTGGCCACTCTCCATATCTCTAGGCAGGAATGATCTTGAGGATGCAAGCTAAGGAGAATATGGTGGACAGTGGTCTTACAGGAGGATTTGCAGCAGAGATGCCAGTGCATAGACAAGATTCAAGGGGAGTGGTGTAGTGTACAGCTTTGGCGTATTGAGGACAGCTGTGAAAAATAAAGCTACATGGCAGAGTGAAAGACTAACAGAACAAACCCTGCTGTTGCAATGAAAGGAGCAGAGCCCATATAATTGCTAAAGGGATAGTATAGCCAGCCTCTGAGTGTGCCAGGCTGCATAGTAATTTGTAAGTGAAAATCTTGACTTTGGGTGTTCAAACCCAAGCTGGTATTAATTGAATAGTATTTAATAATTTATAGTCATGTTAATCAATGTCATTATGTTCATTTTATTTGTGGAAAAAATGGGAGCTGAAGATAAATCATTTGCCCAAGTTACCCAAATTCTTTTCTTTTCTTTTCTTTTTTTTTTTTTTTCTGAGACGGAGTTTCATTCCTATTGCCCAGGCTGGAGTGAAATGGTGCGATCTCGGCTCTCTGCAACCTCTGCCTCCCAGGTTCAAGTGATTCTCCTGCCTCAGCCTCCCAAGTAGCTGGGATTACAGGCACCCACCACCACACCCGGCTAATTTTTTGTATTTTTAGTAGAGACGGGGTTTCACCATGTTGGCCAGGCTGGTCTTGAACTCTTGACCTCAGGTGATCCACCTGCCATGGCCTCCCAAAGTGCTGGGATTACAGGTGTGAGCCACCGTGCCCGGCCAAAGTCACCCAACTTCTAAGTGTTAAAGCTAAGACTTGGACCTTTTGGATATGCTTTTTCGGTGATTGGGAACTTGACTGGGCCTTCTAAACTACTCAACAAAACTTGCATTTTTTCCTAGTCAGTTTGTTTTACCTCTCTCTAATTGGTTTTTCAAACCCTTGACACTTTTTCTGAATTCTCTATGGGATGTCTGCTTCTCTCAGCCAAGTTTTCTACGTCATAAAAGAAAGCAAGGTCAAAAGACAAGAATTCTCTCAAACCCCCCTTTTCCACTTCTGAATCACTGAAAGCAGCAGCTGTCCTTTCTATTTCTCCTCCCCTTCAAAGCTATCAGTTTGCTGCAGCAGCTTCAAAATCTCCTTTTCTACTGGATTTGTCCTCTCAGTCTAAAAATATACTCAAGCATCATGACCTTGACTTTCTCTTTTCTTTAAGCTACCACTGTATGCCTCTCCTTTCCTTCTCCACTGAATTTCCTGACAATATCACCACTTAACTTTCAATCTACTCAGGTCTGGCTTCTCTGATCACTTTGCTGAAAATGCTCTAACCAAGCTATGTGATAAGCTAATATAGTTGCCAAATTCAATAAATTGTTTTCATTTTCCAGCCTACTTGGCCATTGCACTAGATTAACACTGTTAGCTGCCTCTGCTTCAAGAAACTTCCTTATCCTGCGTCTTTCATCACATCATTCTTATTTTTCCCATCTCAATTCTTTCTTTGCTTCTTTTTCTCCTTGAGCTTTGCCTACTGTGTTCTCTCTCAGTCTTAGAGCATAGCTACCATCTAACTAGTTTCCTAAGCCAGATATCTTGGTATAGGCTGTATAGGCTGAGCATCCCTGATCCCAAAATCCAAAATCTAAAATGCTCCAAAATTCAAAACTTTTTGAGAGCTGACATGAGATAGGGGCATATTAATATTTGCTTTCTGATGATTCAATGCATACAAACTTTGTTTCATGCACAGAATTATTAAAACTATTGTATAAAATTACCTCCAGGCTATATGTATAAGGGGTGTATATTAAGTGTAAATAAATTTTGTGTTTAAACTTGTGTCCTATTCCCAAGATATCTCACTATGTACAGTATATGTAAATATCCCAAAATCTGAAAAAAATCCATAATCTGAAACACTTCTAGTTCGAAGTATTTTGGATAATGGATACTCAAACTCTGTAACCTTTCACTATGTCATGGTATCTATCTCTTGGCTTATTACAACAGCCTATTACTGTAATAGTCTTCTTGGCCAGGCGCGGTGGCTCACGCCTATAATCTCAGCACTTTGGGAGGCCAAGGTGGGCGGATCACGAAGTCAGGAGTTCAAGACCAGCCTTGCCAACATGATGAAACCCTGTCTCTACTAAAAATACAAAAATTAGCTGGGCATGGTGACGTGTGCCTGTAGTCCCAGCTACTCGGGAGGCTAAGCCAGGAGAATTGCTTGAACCAGGACCCGGGAGGCAGAGGTTGCAGTGAGCCAAGATCGCACCACTGCACTCCAGCCTGGGCTACAGAGAGAGACTCTGTCCCCCCTCACCCCCCAAAAAATAGTCTTTTTGCCAAGTTAATCATTTCTCTATACTTCTGCCAAGAGTTTTTCATTTTAAAAATTATCAATGTGCCATATTCCTGGTTTATTAGCTCACCTCTAAAATCCACATATACTAACAAAGCATGCAAGGTCATTCACAGCTTGCCTCAGCCCAGCTTTTCAGTCTCAACTCCTGGCATTTCCCTTCATGCACCTTCTGCCCTAAAACAAACTTCTTGGCATTTCCAAACATGCTCTTAATGACTCTGATTTTGCGCATGTCATTCCCCAATATGGAGTGCCTTTTTTTCTTTTCTTTTTTTTTTTTTGATGCCTGTAAACTCTTCCTCATCTTTCAAGACCCAAATCAAATGTCACCTCTTTGTAAAAACTTCTGAACTTTCCCTAAGCAAAGCCATCCTCAGCACTGTTCATGCACTTTATTGCCATCTCGGGGAATTTACCTGCTTCATTTAACCTGCTAAAGTTGATATTAATGTGTTCATTCGTTCCTGCCCCTTATCCTCCACCATTGGCCTGTGGTTGTTTTGAAGGCTTTGTGAACCTCAGGCTGGCACAGGGCCTGGTGTCCAGAAGGTACTCCTTCAATGTGTTCTAAATGCACAAGTTGACCTTGCTCTCATTAAGAAACTTGCAATCACAAAGCCACACTGAAAATTTCCTTTCTCTATAGTTTTCAAGATTTGATGAAAACTGCATACTGCTAGACAAGTTACCTTCTATCACGGGGCGGCCTAAGAAAGAGTGAGGAGAAGGCAGAAATGTCATCTTCACTTTTGTCAGGCTGTTAATAATGTCTGGCACAAATTCATATTTATTAACCAATATTGGAAAATAAGGTCTCCCTCTCACTATTACAGGCAAGGAACTAAGAACTAGAGAGAATGTTTTTAATGGAACAGGGTCTGCCTCAGAAATGATATCAAGTAGATTGAAGGAATTTGTTCAAAAGTAATGCTCTTAGATCTTGTGAGTGACCTGGGGGAATTAATTTTATCCCAGGACAAAGAAAGTCTCATTATCCTCATCCAGTGATATTTACAATGAAACTCATATCTTGTAGCAGTTGGTGTAAATAAATATAAAACAGCTAAGGAACTGTTCAGATGCCTCATGAGAATTTCTGACTCAATATTACCAAAATAGAGTGCTTTATTTTCCCCAACAATCTTCTTCCCATTGCCTTGCTTTTGGTAAATAGATCAACATTTGCTGAGTTTTGAAACTGGAAACCTGAGTGTCATTCTAGAACCAGGTATCTTAACCTTGGCACTACTGATGTTTTGGCTAAATAATTATTTGTATATGTGTGCGTGTGTGGAGTTGGGGGCCTAGGGTGGGGGCTGTCTTGTGCATTGTAGGATGTTAAGCAGCGTCCTTGGCCTCTACTCACTAGATGCCAGTAGCACACCTACTCCTAGTTGTGACAGTCAAAAATGTCTCAAGTCTTTGCCAAATGTTGTGTGTGTGTGTGTGTGTGTGTGTGTGTGTGTGTGTGTGTCTGTCTGGGGATGGAGGTGAGGTGCAAAATCTCCCCTGCATAAGAACCACTGCTCTAGATTCCTGCCTTTCCTTTGCTTACCACTTCTGCCCCCAAAACTTCCAACCCACTAGCATATCTTTACAATTCTACTACTTCCAACCATATATTACCATCTCCACTACTATCTCTAGGGTGCCTGTATTCTAGGGTGCCACTTACCATCCAACTGGGGACACTTTCAAGACTGAAAGGGAATGTTATTAATAATTTTAAAAAGAGGCATAAACGAGACTTTCCATGGCAGCCCAGGATGTGCAGTCACCCTCAGTGTTACCCTGGCCCAAACCTCCATTTTCTGAAGCCTACACTAGTGCAATTGCCCTCCACTAGTTTTACGTCTTTCCATCTGGCCTCCTAGCAGCAGCAAGTGTGCTTTAAAATTTTTTAAGGGCATATTATATCATTTCACCCCATAAAACACCCCAAAGACATCTTACCATCATGCTTAAAATAAAATACCCGCTTCTGACTCTAGCTCTGCCCTCCTTCGCCCCTGGTCTCACCTCACAGCATTTTCCGCAGTCCTCACTGTAGGTACCTCATACCTACTGACCTTCTTGGAACATGCCAAGCCTGTGCAGCCACAGGCCTTCGTGTTGATCAGCCTCTGCCTAAAAGGCTCTTGTCTAGCTTTCTATGTGGCTGACCCTTTTTTTGCTCATCAGGTCTCAGCTTAATTCTTTTACCCACCTCCTTAAAGAGGCCTTCCCTGAGGTCTACCCCTACCTGCCACCACCATACAATTTTATCACAGCTCCCTACTGCTTTCCTTTTTTGTGCTTATTCTACAACAACTTGTTTATTTTAACTTCGTTACTGAGCTTGACATACATATAATAAAGCCCATAAAATGTACTCTTCTGAAGGAGGTAGCTCTGTAAACTTGAACCTTGGTAAACACACCTTTAGCCACCATCCAGATCAAGACAGGGAACATTTCTAGCATCCCAGAAAGTTCCCTCATGCCTTTTGCAGCAATACTGCTTTTCACCTTATACACAGGTAACCACTGATGTAATGTCTATCTTTATTAATTAGCCTTGCCTGTCACAATCTGTAAATAGTTTGTTCACTTGATACTTTTCTGATTTCCTGCTATAATATAAGCTCCCTGAGGGCAGGGATCTTGCTTATCTAATTTTCTATTCTAAGCCCAATGTCTGGCTCAGTTCTTACACATAACAGATACTCATATTTTTAACTAAATAAAACCATCTGATCTTGTCTATACAGTTTGAGAAAGCCTCACATCTAATTCCTTCTTGTCCTTAGATTCAATAGTCTTACCCCAGGGAATTACGAAATTTGACAAAATCAAGATTCAAGCAATGGTGTGTGTGTGTGTGTGTGTGTGTGTGTGTATGTGTTTACATAGAGTTTAAGAACCAGTTAAGAATTGCTCACCAGGCACAGTGGCTCACATCTGTAATCCCAGCACTTTGGGAGGCTGAAGTGGGAGGATCGCTTGAAGCTAGGAGTCTGAGACCAGCCTGGGCTGTAACATAGTGAGACCCTGTCTCTGCAAAAAATAAAATATTAGGTGGGTGTGGTGGTGGGTGCCTGTAGTCCCAGCTACTTGGGGGGTTGAGCTGGGAGGATCACTTGATCCTGGGAGGTAAAAGCTGCAGTGAGTCATGATTGTGCCACTGCACTCCAGCCTGAGTGACAGAGCAAGATCCTGTCTCAAAAAAAAAAAAAAAAAAAAGAATTGCTGTTTGCTCACTTCCACCTTCCGCTCAAGATGAATTCTACCAAAGACTCCAATGGTGAAACTTTTTACAACAGGAAAAAGGCAATTCATTCTTGAATTTTTGCATTCCTGAACAAAACTCCTAAAATATCTTAAACAGAAACCACAGAGAATGTATCAAACACCACAGTAAAATATTTTCTTCTTATTTAGTAATATTTTAGCCAAAGGACTGATTATGTTTGTAAACACAAGATCTTTTTTTTTTTTTTAAGTTCAGGGGTACGTGTGCAGGATGTGCAGGTCTGTTACATAGGTAAACATGTGCCATGGTAGTTTGCTGCACAGATCATCCCATCACCAGGTATCAAGCCCAATATCCATTAGCTATTCTTCCTCATGCTCTCCCTCCACACCCCCACAACCCTATGACAGGCCCCACTGGGTGTTTTTAGCCACCATGTGTCCTTGTGTTCTCATCATTCAGCTCCTACATACAAGTGAGAACATGTGGTATTTGGTTTTCTGTTCCTGCGTTAGTTTGCTAAAGATAATGGCCTCCAGATCCACGCATGTCCCTGCAAAGGACATGATCTCATTCCTTTTTATGGCTGCATAGTATTCCATGGTGTATATATACCACATTTTCTTTATCCAGTCTATCATTGATGGGCATTTGTATTGATTCCATATCTTTGCTATTGGGAACAGTGCTGCAATGAGCATATGCATGCATGTATCTTTATAATAGAATGATTTTTATTCCTTTGGGTATATACTCAGTAATGGGATTGCTGGGTCAAATGGTATTTCTGCCTCTAGGTCTTTGAGGAATCACCACACTGTCTTCCACAATCGTTGAACTAATTTACACTTCCATCAACAGTGTAAAAGCCTTCCTTTTTCTCCCCAACCTCGCCAGCATCTGTTGTATTTTGACTTTTCAATAGTAGCCATTCTGACTGGTATAAGATATTATCTCATTGTGATTTTGATTTGCATTTGTGTAATGACCAGTGATGATGAGCTTTTTTTCATATATTTGTTGGCCACATGAATGTCTTCTCTGAGAAGTGTTCGTTCATGTCCTTTGCCCACTTTTAATGAGGTTGTTCATTTTTTTCTTGTAAATTTGCTTAAGTTCCTTGTAGATGCTGGATATTAGACCTTTGTCAGATGGATAGATTGCAAAAATTTTCTCCCTTCTGTAGGTTGTCTGTTCACTCCGATGATAGTTTCTTTTGCTGTGCAGAAGCTCTTAAGTTTAATTAGATCCCATTTGTCAATTTTTGCTTTTGTTGCAATTGCTTTTGGTATCTTCATCATGAAATCTTTGTCTGTGACTCTGTCCTGAATGGAATTGCCTAGATTTTCTTCTAGAGTTTTTATAGTTTTGGGTTTTACATTTAAGTCTTTAATCCATCCTGAGTTGATTTTTGTAAATGGTATAAGGAAGGGGTCCAGTTTCAATTTCCTACACGTGGCTATCCAGTCCTCTCCTCCCAGCACCATTTGTTAAATAGGGAATCCTTTCCCCATTGCTTGTTTTTGTCAGGTTTGTAGAAAATCAGATCGTTGTAGGTGTGCAGTCTTATTTTTGGGTTCTCTATTCTGTTCCATTGGTCTGAGTGTGTGTTCTTCTACCAGTACCATGCTTTGGGTTACTCCAGCCTTATAGTATAGTTTGAAGTCAGGTAGTGTGATGCCTCCAGCTTTGTTCTTTTTGCTTAGGATTGTGCAAAGACAAGGTCTTTAAAATGCAAATATATCTGGTTTTTATAGATTGAGAAAAGAAAATACAAGGTGAGGAAATAAAAAATGTAGCTGAAATACAAAAGGTAGTCCTTGGAATTTGATGAAAATGGACTGTACTTTTTTCAATGCAGATGCAATTGGTTATGACAAGTTTTATGCATCGGTACAGAAGCTCTTTGGTCCAGATGTGAAGAATCAAGATGTGAAACGCTTTTACAGGAAACTGTGCAACAACACGGATGCATCTGCAGACTGGTGTGAGGTAGACTCATTTCATGTTCATAATATGAAATCCAGGTATTATTTTTCTAAGTTTGGAATAAATAATTAAAACAAAGTGTTACTGCCACAGGGGTTGAACCACAACGTGCATGTGTCAGTTTCAATACCTACACCCATTAGGACATGGCCACTGCCCACAAATGAAAGTGGGTAAAGTAGGTAACTATTTAGCTGTATTATTAATAAACAACTCTTAAATCCTTTCAGACCAAGCTGCCAGTAGGAAGAGCTATACATGCCTCTAACAACAACCAAGATTTTAATGGTCGTCATTTCACTTTATATGAGATATTTCTTTTCAATGGGTTCAATGTACACAAATTTTCAGTGCATCCAAATTATTAATATAAGAGAAGAGGCTACAATTGACTACCTGTTATATTCCCTGAGTTGTTTTCTGATCACCATGGTATTTATTCTTAAAAAAATTACACATATCCATACAGAGAAATTAAATAATTTTTATAAATTATCTGGTTCTTTAAAAAAAAAATAGAAATAGTAGACAAAAGAAAAAGTAAGAATCTAAGGGATTTGAATACCACATTTTATAAGCCGATGGATATGTATAAGGAGAATTTAAACCTAAGACACAGGAAAAATACATCTCTCTCAAATATATATGGAGCCATCTCAAAATTGACCACATTAGGCTAAAAAGAAAATATTAATAAATTATGATATAATAAATTAGAAGCCTAAAATAAAAGATAGCCAAATCCCCCACATCACCCAAATAAAAAACAAATTAATTAATTTTAGGAAAAAATTGCAAATGAAAAAAGTTTCTACAAAGTCTTTGAGGAATATTTAATTCCCATGTTGTATGCATGTTTCTATAATGTAGGAAAAGCTGAAAAGCTATCCAGCTCACTTTATGAAGCTAAAATAACACTGAATTGAACATAGACAAAATGTCAGGGAACTATAAGACAATTTTACTCATAAATATAAATTCTAAACTCCTAAATAAAATGTTAACAAGTTGAATCCTGCAGTGCAGGATTCAAGTACAATTTACCCCAGCAAAGTAAAGGTGGTTCAATATTAGAAAAGCCAGAAACGTACTTCATTTAACAAGTCAGGGGAGAAAAAATAATATGCTAATGTCAATCCAAGGTCAGCAAACTAAGGCCTATGGGCCAAATCTGGATAGACAGCCACCTTTGTTGTGAATAAAGTTTACTGGAACACAGCAATGCTCACTCATTCACAAACTGGCCACGGTTGCTTCTGTGCTACAATAGGAGAATTACATAGTTTTGATAGAGGCTGAATGGCCTGCAGGCCTAAAATATTTACTACCTAGCCCTTTTCGAAAAATGTTTGCAGACTTCCAACCTTAAAGTAAAATTAAAAGTAAAAAAAGATGTCTAATAAGAATTCAATAGCCATCCTTGCTTTAAAAAGAAAAACAATCTAGCGGAATAGAAATAATAGAAAATTCCATTAATTTGAGAAAGGAAACTGACTGCATTAGGATTCTACTGCTACTGTACTAAATTATCATAAATTTAGCAATGAGAAGAAATATATATCATAGTTTGCATGGATCAGGAGTCTGGGACAGCTTCACTGGGTCCCTCTGCTCGGGGTATCATAAAGCTGCAATCAAGGTGTTGGCAAAGCTGGGTTCTCATTTGGAAGCTCTGCTAGGGAAGAATCTGCTCCTAAGCTCATTCAGGTTGTTGGCAGAATTCAATGCCTTGCCGTTGTAAGTCTCAAGGCCTCAGCTTCTTGTTGACTGGAGGCTGCAAGCGTCCCTCTTGTCCTAGAAGCTGCCTGCAGCCCCCACCGTGTGGCCCTCTATACTGGCAGTTCACAACTTTGCATTTTCAAGGCCAGCAGGAGAATTTTTCCCTCCATAGTCTGATAAGAGGAAATTTTATATAATGTAACATAATCATGGGAGAAACAGCTCATCATATTTGTCATATTCTCTTAGTTAGAAGTAAGTCACAGTTTCCACCATATTTAAGGGATAGAGATTATACAAAAGTGTGACTTGTGTGTCTGGGAGGGAAGAGGAGGACATTTTAGAATAGGTCCACCATAGAGACTTACCAGAAACATATTTGAGCAAGGATCATATTTATTGCTGAAATACTGGACACAACCCCATTAAAATCAAGAACGAGAAAAGGATGCCTATTCACCACTAATCTTCGACACTTTATTGGAGGTTGTAAGCAATGCAAACAGAAGGGAAAAGGGCAAGAAATGGAATTGATATGTAATCAATTATTTAAAAATACAAAATTCTCATTATTTGTGGATATTCTACCAAGAATATCCAATAGAATTATATGGCAAACTATTAGAACTGAGAGGGTTCAAAAGAGTTCATAAAAGATACATGGAAGAATCAATAATTTCCATGAACACCAGCAATAACCACCCCTCTCTCTCACCAAAACTAACTAGGAAATAAAAAGATTCCACTCACAAAAGCAACAAATAGGAGAAAGTATCATGGGATAACTCTATTGAAAAAAGACAGCAGAATAATAATTGAGAGGCTTAGTTTGTAAAGATACCAACTGTTCCCGAATTGACTTAAAGTTTAATCTCAGGCTCCTTGCTGTTTCACACGGAAATGTGAAGACAAGGGGAGAGCTGGCCCTGACCCCCGTCCCTTCTTTTGCCATTACTGGCTCCATCTTACATCATGAGGGGCCATGTGCTCACATATGGGCACCCCGGCCCACATGTCTAAGCTCTTCCATACCTTCACCTCCACAAACACTATCCCTTGGCCACCCCCTCAGAACTAGAGGTGTACACACCAGTGGTGTGCAACCCACCCTCATATGGTGGATAAGAGGCTTCACAGGCCTGAAAGTAGACTTGGCCCCTTTGGGGAGAGAATTCTGGGGTTCGAAGAATCTAGGGCATAGTTTAAAAGCATTGTTATGGACCCCTGGTAGACGATGGCCCATTAGCTTCCACAGAAAAAACTAGAGTGGGGCCTTCCAAAGCTGTGCTGTCCGACAAAGTGGCCACTAGCCACATGTGCTATTTACATTTAAATTAAATTAGAAATTCAGCTCCACAGTTGCACTAGTTACATTTCAAGTGCTTGATGTTCACATGTGGCTAGGGGCTATTGTATTATACAGGACAGATTACAGAATATGTCCATCATTGCAGAAAGTTCAACTGGACAGCACCACTCTGAAGACATAGGCCCCTTGGCCTGGGCCTAAAAGCAACACTGCAGATGGAATCATAGCTATTTTTTTTGTTGCTTTTTGTTTTTGTTTTTTTTTCTAGATATACTGATTCAATAAAGTAGAAGACATAAATGTATTTAACAAGAGCTCTTAGCCACCCAAAGATTTTTGAGAAATCAAATGAAGGGTGAAACAGTCAGCTACTCTGCAGCCACACAGAAATGATTGTTTTTTTCCTAAATTGTGTAAGTGTACAACATGAATGCATTGTTTTGTTTTTTGTTCCAGGATCTAATCTCTATCACACTTTGTAAACCCTGCGGATATTCCCCCATAGATCGGTAACTTGAATGCAATGTCATTAAACTTGGGATAGATGTGATTTTGAGAATCAGGTTTTCTCACTGTTCTCTATTTTCTTATGAATATTTCTCAAACACTCAGTGGTTTATATGCATGAATTTCTAATGCAATCATTTTGGGCCACTTAAAATATGAAAATGTGTGTCTAACCAATGTTTCACGTCAATATAAAAAAATTATGAACATTTGGAAATTAGAAAAGTCTGTTCATATTTTATTACACACTTAGATTCAGAAAAGCAACGCTCTAAAGATAGCCCATAAATGCCAACAAATGAGACAAAGCACTCTGTGATAAATCCATTTACATGGAATTCTACAGTAACTGAGAATTTGGTCTCTGAATGAAATACTAAAGTAAATCAGATTTTTTTTTGTTTGTTTTACAGATGAGGAAATCAAGCCTCATTGTCTCTGACATCTGCTCCTCTTTCCCTTTCTAGCTAGAACATCATAATCTTCCTTCATTTGTAAAATGTCTTCTTTTATTCAAGCACGTTCTTTTCAGGTTCTCATTTAATCTTCACAATAGCCACGCAATGTAGATTATGGAGGATACATTATTGAAATGATAAAGATGAGAAAAATCACAAAAAGGTTAATTGACTTATCTAAAGCTGGACAGAAAGTCTGTTTTGGTCTTGGGACTGAGATTTTTCTCCCTCTTTATGTAGTAAGTTCATGTGACATTATCCTGGGGCCAGGTGCGGTGTCTAATGCCTATAATCCCAGCACTTTGAGAGGCCAAGGCAGGAGGATTGCTTGAGCCCAGGAGTTTGAGACCAGGCTGGGCAACATGGTAAGACCCTGTCTCTATGAAGAAGAAGAAGGAGAAGGAGAAGGAGAGAGAAGAAGAAGACTTTAAAAAAACAAAACATATGACATTATTCTGTTACATCACTTGGGTTCCTATAAATCGTATGCAAGTTTAATAGAAAAACTCATGGCCAGCTTCTGGCACACTGTATGTATATAAAGAATGACTTGAGATTTAAAAAAAAATGGGGCAGGAATGTTCTTCTTTTATTGTCCTGTCATTTTTCTCACAAATTATTTGTGTCAGTGCTCCTAAGGGGCATTTCTATTTCAAGCCATGTGAGCTAAACTTTCTGGGCTTCAGATCCATCATCTGTAAAATGGAAATTCAATTCGAGGAGACTAACTTCATTTCAGTATGGATTACCTAGTGTTTTCTTAATCAGTTGATATTAATCTTATCAGGTAATAAAAACACGATTTATTCTTTTAAACTCAGGCACAGACATACCAATCTTGTTCCAAATATAAATCTCTTTGTGGTAGCAATGCCACAAAAGTTTCACCTTCTTTTTCAAGATTTTTTGATGCAAAGACACTCGGAGAATTTGAAATTCATAGAATAATGAAATCTTATAACTCACCTAAACATTATCTAGACCTGCTCCTTCAATTTATAATGAAAAAAATTTAATGTAAAGAGATCAAAAGAAATATGACTGCCTTAAGTTTATAAAGCTAGTTAATGGAAAAGTCTGGTGCAGACACAGTCTACTTTTCTTACAATGTCATGTTAGTCTGGGTTTCCAGTGGGCAACTTATAAACACATTTTTTTAGGAGCACACTACAAATTAATCCAAAGAAGAGGCATACCACACCATATGGAATGCCTATAATTATGTTCCCTCCCAAAAGTGAATTTAAAGTGTATTATTATAAATCTAAAATTATATTTGCTAACTTCAAAAATGTTAAAAGAATGTTCCAGGATAGGTTAAAAAATAAGCTGCATGCAGGTTTTTATTTTCTTCTATTGGCTTTTTTATTTTCTCCATATGTTCTACAATGAACATATGTTCCTTATATAATCAGATAAAAATGAAGTTAAAAATGAATCACTTAAAGCATGGAGCAAGACTTTTAAATAGCATAGTTAAAATAAAATTAACACTCTAATAGTCATAATATATATATAAGTGATAAAATACTCAAATCTTGTCACAGGCAACATTACTACACTGAAACTGAAAAGGTCGAAAGAGAAATTTGAGATCGTAGAGGCTATGGCTCATCACAGGAGAAACGGGTATTTGCTGCTCTTTAACAGCATTATTTGCTTGAGACATTTCCTTTCAAAATGCAAAACTTTCACTGTTGCTTCTGAAGGAGTTTATCTGGTATAATACCCAAATTTTTCTCAATAAATTCAAGTAATTTGATATTTTTCGTATCCTTTGGAAGTTATTTTTTGGTAAGCATTGTAATAGTGTGTTATTTACAAGTGAAAGTAACAAAATTTATTATTGTCGTAAGAGCATATGTCCACAGTCTGCCATCTACCTACATGTAGATGTGGTTATCAAATATATGCATGCTAAAATGCATAGCTGATGTGTTGTTTGGGTAAGTAACAAAAATGCTTAGTGCACAGTTTTAAATTAGCGAGGAAGATACTTGAATTCTGTTTCCTGTACTGTCTCTGGAAAAATCAGGAATTACAGTTACTGAAATGTTGACATTGATTGAGCTCCTACTGGGGACTTGGTGCAATCTAAGTACTTGCTAATCTTTCTCATTACTAAGCAATCTAATCATGCACTTCCTCAGTTAATCCTTACAACAGAGCATAACATGGGGATTATTACTGATTATCCTTATTTTACACACGGGAAAGACTCAAGTACAGAGAAACTAAGGATCTTGCTTGAGGTCATGTGACTAGTAGACAGTAGAACCAAGATTTGGACCCATGACCAATTCCTGAAGCACTGAATACTTCCTTGCATAGGACATTGCTCCTGAATTTCTTCACATCTGTTCTTAGACACCTGATGCCTTGGCACTATCCCCACAAAAATTAAAATAAAGTTAAACGACTGTCTGTAAATTGCTCTTTGAGTATGGGTATCATTGACGTAGGAGACATAATTTCAAATTAGATGATAGCATGTATGGTGTGGAGTTCTCCCATCTCTGATAAACATTGGAATTCATTAATGTAGAAACAAAGAATCATCATCACCATTATCATTACACATTCTCTGAAAATTATTATTTCACACTATTCTCTGAGGTTAAATTTGCTGCCAATGTTTATCAATTGTCTACTTTGCGTAAGTCCTTTAAATTGTACCAAGTTGTGTTTATAAAATGAGGGTGTGACTGGCGGAATTCTGAAGGTGCCCGTCTTCCCCAAGATTCCTGTCCCCTGGTTATTCCATCAAACATGAACATAGACACTGCTGGGAAGGAGCTTTGGAGATGGAATTAAGGTACTAATCAGTTAACCTTAATATAAGAAAATTATCCTGGATTATCTAGGTGGGTTCAAACTCCTCATATGAGTCCTTAGAAACAGAAGAGGAAGAAAGAAGAGATTCCAAGCATGATGGGGGACTTGAAGTTCCATTGCTGTTGCTGAGACATAGGAGGGCCCATGTACTAGGACTAGATAGAGACCTCTAGGAGCTAAGGGCAGTACAAGCTGACAGCCAGCTCAGAACAGGCCTTCAGACCAACAATCCCAATGAGCTTGGAAGTAGATTCTTTCCTGAAAGTCTCCAGCAAAGAATGCATCTCTACTGACACCTTCATATTAGGAAAATGAGAGCCATACTGGACTTCAAACCTACTGAACTGACAGCCAATAAGTGGAAACCATTGTTGTTTTAAATTGCTACTGTTGTAATTTGTTTCAGCAGCAATAGAAAACTAATTCATAGAGGAAAAGTGTCAAAGTTCAATAAACGTATGTCTGTTGTTACAACCAACAGAAAACAAAATGTAGCTAGAAGAGGAATTCAAACTCAACAGCAATGTAAGGAGGTGCAGCACTTGGAGAAGGAAGCTAGAGAAGACAAAAGCAAAAATAGGACGCAGGTTTACTGTATTATCTGTAATTGACTTCGGAAGGTGTTTTTGTATTTTTGTTTTTAAGATGGGAGAGATCTGTACTTGTCTGAATGCTGAAAGGAAAAGTCAGTAGAAAGAAAGATGTTGAAGATTCTGGGGAAAGTAAAAGAAGACACCCTTTGAGCTGGGCGCGGCAGCTCACGCCTGTAATCCCAGCACTTTGGGAGGCCGAGGGGGGCGGATCACGAGGTCAGGAGTTCGAGACCAGCCTGGCCAATAGGGTGAAACCTCATCTCTACTAAAAATACAAAAATTAGCTGGGTGTGGTGGCAGGATTGTGGAAATATATGATTGAGGTGACAGACCACCAATTCTAAACTGGGTGAGAAAGGAAGCACTAACCACAGGGAAATGACAGGTTAGGAAGGAATTTCCCTCTCAGGGTCTGATTGTCTGTAGGAGTCATATAACTTTCCCAGCAAAGTTTCATACACTATCAATTTACCGAAGTGCCCACCTGACTAATCTTAGAAAAAAACAGTCTCATCCTTTAGTGGACTGATGGTTTTAAAATACTACCCTTGGCCAGGTGTGGTGGCTCACACCTGTAATCCCAGCACTTTGGGAGGCTGAGGTGGGCAGATCACAGGGTCAGGAGGTCAAGACCAGCATGGCCAATATGGTGAAACTCCATCTCTACTAAAAATACAAAAATTAGCCAGGCATGATGGCACAGGCCTATGGTTCCAGCTACTCGGGCAGGAGAATTGCTTGAACACAGGAGGCGGAGGTTGCAGTGAGTCGAGATCACACCACTGCACTCCAGCCTGGGTGACAGGGCAAGACTCCGTCAAAAAAAAAAAAAAATACCCTTAAAGACAGCCTACTGTTCTCATTAGAGGCTGTGGTCTGGATTAACATATCATTTATTTTTCTCTCCCATGAGGCCTTCTCAATGTAGGCTTTCCAACGATAACAATAGCTAATGTTTTAAAACGATTACTATATGCCGGGCACACTGCAAAATGCTCATTTTGACATGACCTGATGCCATCCATTATGTCATTTAAACCTCAACAAAACAAAACGAAAACAAAATTCAAAGGTTTGTTCTTTTATTCTACTGATGAGGAAGTTAAGACTTCAGAAGGTGAAGGTATTTTTCCAAGTAATGACTATCAATTCATTGTACAGTCTGAACCCTGACCCTGGACCACCTGACTCCACAGCACATGCTCTTTGCCATGAAGCGGTATTGTGGGTTCGAATGATATAGGGCTGAGGTACAGATTGATACATAATTGTTAACTGAATAATGCATAAATTAATGATGACAAAGATTGCAGTAACAAAACCTTCCTGTCCACTCCAACATAGATCTATTAATTTTCCTTTTCTTTTCTCAGTCCTTCAGAGGGAATTAGATATTAAACCTAGAGGGTTTTGTACCCATAAAAAATGAGCAATGATTTCTGAGAAGATAATAAGCTTTTATTGAGTGCTAATTTTGCTGGTGGGAAAAAGGGAAAATACAAGCAAGTCTCGATGAGCCTGATTTTCCCACAGAAGGGAATCTAACTGTGGGGAATAATTAGGGCAATTGTATGTTGGGAGGTTTGAATGTGGGGGAATGTACATGAAGAAGTAGTAACATTTGTGAAGCAACTGATGACAGGACATATATTAAAATATTAATATAATGTTAAGCCATCATCTAGCATCTAAATCAATATTATTAAAACAAAATGGCACATTGCTGGTTTTGATTTATTTCCAGTTCAGTCATTTAGTCACTAGTTCCTTTAAACTCAAAGTAGTCTCTCATGAAAAGCTTGTTAGAAATGCAGATTCTCAGACCCACTCCAGACCTACTGAAGCCAAATCTGCATTTTAACAAGATATCCGGGTGGCTAGTATGCACAGTGAAATTTCAAAAGGATTCCTCAGTTCATTTCGTGCATTCAACTTTATGAGAAATACTGATATACTAATTATATAACTTTTATAAGCATTTTATTAATTTCAAAATTTAAATACATAATTATTTTTAAGTTCGCTCATTAATTTATAAGAATTTTATTTCTGTTGGTTAATAAGACAAAGAACAGCTATCTTATTTTCTTCATTTTTCAGAGTTATATAATTCGACAGTTTATTCACAAATAAGAACTCTTTTCTTCCTCACAATTTTTTTTTCATGGTAATTTATTCTCACGCAATGCCTACAGAGTAGGATTTGGAACACTTAAAGCAACTCTTAAGTTCCCACCAACAGGCATAAAAACTCCCCCAACAGGGATAAAGAAAAAAAAAATCTAGCCCTGAAAAATTCATGGAAAATGGGTAAGACAGTCATTTGAGAGTGGCCAAAGTCAGTGTCAAAGTTCTTAGCTGGGGCCCTGCATGATGAGGACTGATTTGATTTCCAAGTAAGTGCCAGCTCCGAATAGATCTATCAGTCTGAGTGTCAGTTCTATTGAAAAGAAAAATCAGTAACCGCTCAAAAATCATGCATTATCAGTATACAGTTTGTTGAATATATTAAACCAGGGGTCCTCAACCCCACCAGTCCATGGACTGTTAGGAACTGGGCCGCACAGCAGGAGGTGATCAGTGGGGGAGAGAGCATCACTGCCTGAGCTCCGCCTCCTCTCAGATCAGCAGTGGCACTAGATCCTCACAGAAGCGTCAGCCCTGTTGTGAACTGTGTATGCAAGGGATCTAGATTGCATGCTCCTTATGAGAATCTAGTGCCTGATGATCTGAGGTGGAAGAGTTTCATCCCGAAAGCATCCCCTGCCCTGGTCCGTGGAAAAAGTGTCTTCCATGAAACTGGTGCCTGGTGTCAAGAAGGTTGGGGACTGCTGTATTAAACTGTCTCCTGGTATAGGGAACCCCCTGACATTCACAAAGCAGGGTGCTGGCTGTTAATCCTAACTAGCTTTAAATTCAGCCAACATGAGATCTGCTACTTTATAGCTAATTCTGAGGCATGCTGCATATTTATATGTGCTGTTTGGGATTTCAGATCTTTGGATACTTCTCCTCTGAAGAAGATCCTATTGCTTCCCAGTTGGATGAAGAAAATTTGGTTTTCTTTGTGTCTAGAAAAAGGCGAATTTTAATTTCAGGTGACATTTTAATTTTCTCTTCCAAATTAGTATGAGTTTTAATATTTTCCTCAAGAATACTGGAACTATATTTTCCATAGAATCACTTTTCATTTTATGTATTTGTTCAATACTTTATCACTAGGTGTCGGGGGTGGTGAGAGTTTCATATGCAGTATCAGAAGAAACTCTACTACTGTTGAAATGGAAATATTATAATTTCTTTGAAGGACACTAAATAGAGAATGTGATGGAAGAAAATTCACATTTTCCTGAAAAGGCTCAGACTTCCAGTTAAACCTCTCTGCAATGATGTCACAATAATGCATGCTCCAGTAAAAGAAGTCATGTTTCTTTTAAACTATTCTTAAAATTAACTTTTTGAGTTTTCACTAAACATGACTCTTCTATTCACTCTCATCTACCCGGGATTATCTTAAAGATGTTTAACCTGACATCTCTTGAGAGCTTGGGCCAGTCATGGATGGGCACTGTCCCAGTCTGGGAAGTCTCTAATGTATGTGTTCTTCATTTTCAACTTTGAGCCTGGGACCCAGGACCTCCCATCCCTCTCCACTCTTAACACCTTGGGGTTTCTTCTCCTTCTTCCCTCCATGGTGGGAGGAGGTCAGGAAGAGGGAAGACAAACTTTCAAACCTACTCCTGTCTTCCAGCATTTCCTCTCATATTCTGAGATGAAGGTCAAATGTGATGTCTCTTAAAAAAGTACCGGGAGTCTGGGCACAGTGGGTCATGCCTGTAATCCTGGCACTTTGAGGAGGTCAAGGGGGGATGGATCACCTGAGGTCAGGAGTTCGAGACCAGCCTGGCCAACATAATGAAACCCTGTCTCTACTAAAAATACAAAAATTAGCCAGCCATGGTGGTGTGCACCTGTAGTCCCAGCTACTCGGGAGGCTGAGGCAGAAGAATCACTTGAACTCCAGAGGTGGAGATTGCAGTGAGCTTAGATGCCACCACTGCACTCCAGCCTGGGTGACAGAGACTCTGTCTCAAACAAACAAACAAACAAAGCACCTGGAAGGCTTTGTGAGCCAAACCCACCTTCATCCTTGACTCTTTCTTAGTCCAACCACTGACCTCAACAGAGCCTGGCTTCTGGCCATGGGAACTAGAAAAAAAAAGAAAAAGAAAAAGAAAACACACACACACACACAGACACAAAAGGGCTGTCCCTGCTGCCACCACACTGAGCTAAGGAGGGGCCCCAGAGCAGGGGAGAAGTGTGGCTGGCAGTCTATGTTAGGGCTTTGCAAGTATTTTTCTAGATGGCAGTTGCATTCTGTAATTCATTTATCACTCAACAAATATTTGCTAAAGTCTACTATGTAGGCCAGACACCTTTCTAAATGCTAGAGACAGAGCGGTGAACAAACAGACACAAATCCCTGACCTCATGGAGTTTACATTCCAATAGGGAGAGGCAGACAATAGCAAAAATTAAACAAGTAAAATATACAGTATGTCAGATGGTAATACACACTATAGGACAAAAAGCAGGTTGTGGGGAAAATAAAGCAGGAATGTGGGAAGGAGAAGGTGGTTTGAGGATGGGAGCATGGTGGTTGATGGGGTGGTCAGGGAAGTCCCCACTGGGAAGGTGAAAAAGATCTGTAGAAAGTGAGAGAGCAAACCATGCATTTCAGGTAGTGGGGAGAGTGGTGGGAGCTAAGGTTGGAGAAGCAACGATGGGAGTGGGGACAGGTGTACTGGGACTTGTATGACATGCTGAAGACTTCTGAATGAGGCACAAAGCTACAAGGGGGCTGTGGATAGAGGAGGGAGTCACCTGAGTTATCCTTTATATTCTTTTCCAGCTTCTGCATTTAAAATAGTCTGTACTAGTTCATGTCCTTTGTAGGGACGTGGATGAAGCTGGAAACCATCATTCTCAGCAAACTATCGCAAGGACAAAAAACCAAACACCGCATGTTCTCACTCATAGGTGGGAACTGAACAATGAGGACACATGGACACAGGAAGGGGAACATCACACACCAGGGACTGTTGTGGGGTGGGGGGAGGGATAGCATTAGGAGATACACCTAATGCTAAATGACGAGTTAATGGGTGCAGCACACCAACATGGCACATGTATACATACGTAACAAACCTGCACATTGTGCACATGTACCCTAAAACTTAAAGTATAGTAATAAAATTTAAAAAAAAATAGTCTGTAGTGTGGAAGGGGTGGAAGCAGAGAGAATGATGGTGGCTTGCAATAGGGCAGTGTTTCTCCATCTTTTTTTTTAAATTACTGAACCCTAAGGAGCCTTTTTAGACTTTCTGTTCCTAATTGCCTTCCCCTCTGCCTTATCCTGCTCCATGCCATTTTAATGCCTCAGGTATTAATTACTAAGTGTATCCAATTATATACTACATGCGTATCTGTGCTTTCTGCACAAAAAGAGTAAAATGGATTCATGTTCCCTCCAAGAACTAATTTGTACCCCTTTGGGGGGCAATATCTTCTCTGTTGAGATACACGGATGAGGGTGGTAATACTAGGGTATGACACCTGTTCACTTGCCTTTCTTTCCTAAGAGTTTGCAATTATAAAAATTAAGTGCCCTGGAAGAAATTCTATATATATGGCTTTATCATTCAGTGCATGGCCATAGAAACATAAAAGTGTCTAGCTAGTCTTTTTTTTTCAAAATGCACATTTTTTTAAGTCTTAATGACAGTCCTAGTTTCATTCTTTTATATTGAAAAGCCTGAGATGGTATTAAGTTTTTATCATGCGTAAACCACAATGGTGAGAATTCAAAGAAAGGAGTCCTAAAAGATGTGAAATATCTCAAAAAAGAAATGACTCCAAACGATGTTTAGAAAACGTGTTCTCTGTGAAATATGCACATGCACGTGTGTGTGTAGGGGGTGGGTGGGTGTGTGTCTTGCCTTTTCTCTGGGAATTAATGTACCACATTTAGTTAGAAAGCTCTATATATGCAAATTAGTATCTCTGAGGATCATTAAAACACAATGGTTGCCGGGTTTTAGGTTTTATTCTACTTTAATTTTTAAGTAACTTGGGGCTTTCTAGCAAAAAAGCTGGCTGTTTATCTTTTTTTTTCTTTTCTTTTTTTTTTTTTTTGAGACAGGGTCTCGCTCTGTCACCCAGGCTGGAGTGCAGTGGTGCAATCACAACTCACTGCACCTCAACCTCCTGGCTCCAGAGATCCTCCCACCTCAGCCTCCCGAGGAACTGGGACTATAGGCATGACCCATCACATTCAGCTAATTTTGTGTTTTTGGTAGAGATGGACTTTGTCATGCTGCCCAGGCTGGTCTTGAACTCCTGGACTTGAGCAATCCACCTTCCTTAGCCTCTCAAAATTCTGGGATTACAGGAGTGAGCCACTTGTGCCCTGGCCATATCATTTTTTAAAAAAACAAATCTAACAAATGAGTTTCAGCACCTTTACTGCTGAAAGTTGAAATGAATATTATGCTGTTGACAGGTAGTAGAAGACGAGATGTGATTAAGAGCATTGTCAAGATACCTCACCTGGATTTACTAATAACAGCTACTCAGAAAGGATTAATAACAGTTTTTAATAACCAGGTAATTTCTTTTTCTTTTTTTAACTGAATGACTCATTTTACAATAACCAGGTAATTTAAAAGCTTGGATTTCTCCCCCCCTCCCTCCCTCCCTTCCTTCCTTCTTTCCTTCCTCCCTCCCTCCTTTCTTTCTTTCCTTCTTGCTTTTATTTCCTTCCTCTTATTCCTTCCTTCCTTCTTTCCTTCCTCCCTCCCTCCTTCCTTCCTCTCTCCTCCCTTCTTTTTCTTTCCTTCTTTCCTCCCTTTCTCCCTCCCTCTCTTCCTTCCTTTCTTCTTCCTTCCCTCCCTCCTTCTTCTTTCCTTCCTTTTCTCCCTTCCTCCTTCCTGCCTCCCTCCCTTCATCCTTCCTCCCTCCCTCCTTCCTTCCTCCCTCCCTCCTTCCCTCCTTCCCTCCCTTCTTCCTTCCTTCTTCCCTACCTCCCACCCTCCTTCCTTCTTTCCTTCCTCCCAACTTCCCTCCCTTCCTCCCTCCCTTCTTCCTTCCTCCCTCCTTCCTCCCTCCTTCCTTCCTCCCTCCCTTCCTCCCTTCCTCTCTCTCCTCCTCCCCTCCTCTCTTCTTCCCTCCTCCCTTCCTTTTCTCTTTTTTGGTTTGTCTCTGCATTATGCATATGTATCAGGTACAGCGGAAACCATAAATTATATTTTAGAGTTATTCCAAAAAATAAATCCAAATATTTAGTAATGAGGAGATTGCTGTGCTCTGTGGCAATTCTTTGAAACTGGTGACTGCATTTGGCATTGTTCCTCAGGGTGTCATATGGAACCATGTGGCATCAACACAATTAAAAGATGATCCTGGATAATATCTCAGTTAAAATCAGAAACACTGACAAGCCAAGTGATTAATAAAAGGTCCCATCAGGAACTTTGGACTTGAAATAAAAATGAATTGCTCAAATTCTCGCCCTACTGTTTTACTAATTATGTCATTAAGTAGGGAGCTTAGTGAGCCACTTACATATCTTTCACATCTCTTTTTTTACATCTGTAGAATGAGGACAATAAAACCTGTCCTCCCTCAAAGGATTGTAGTGAGGGTCAAATGAGAGAATGAGTGTAGAAACACTTTATGAGCAATAAATTCCTACATGAATGTAAGGCTTTGCTGTTATCAATGTCATTTCTAAATTTGTAATTTTGGACTTTCACTTTAATGGAATATGTTACAATATACCCTACATAATATTTTGCTATGAAAATAAAAGATGAATCTTTGGTGTTAATTATTTTAAAAATCCTAATGATTAGTTCATTTCCAACTAGAAACAAGCTTTATGCAAGTAAAATACCTTTGAAATAATCATTATGTGATTAAAATTTTATCATAATTTTCAGTTCTTCAGTAATCTCCAGCTCAGGAAATCTTTCAGAAGTTGAAGTCACAGACAGCCAGATTCTGTCAGAGGAGGGGGCTGTGTGGGCCCTGGAGGTGGTGCAGTGAGGGATGCAGAGTGTGGGCGTGGAGTCTGGGCTCCAGCCTCGCACTAACACTTACAGCTGTGCGTGTTATTTAATATCTGCATGCCCTGGTTCCTCATCCCGAATCATAGACCTTCTTTCTTGCTGTTTAAGTGAGTTAATACTCATGAAGTGCTTAGCATCATTAGAGTTCCTCAGCAAATATTGGCCATTGCTATAATAAACAAATAATGTGAAAACAAAAATGAATTTGCCTCATTTATATATAAAAACCTTCTTGATCTTTTTCTCTTGGTGCATTATTCCCCTTCTCTTTTGTTACCTTTATTACCTCAAAAACAGAACTAAGATGGTATCTAGAAAATAATAGGAGAAGGAAAATAATTATGTGCATACTAAAACATTCAGAATGATGTGAAATAAGTCAGGCGGCATTATCACATTTCCAGAGATGCTTTACAAACATGCACATACACACAAAAGCTTACAGATGGGCACGTGTATACTCACAAACGTGCAAACACATATGTTTTTTATAAGATAATGTAACTGGAGGAAAAAATGGCTAAAAAATTAATGGTTTTTTTTTTTTTTTTTTGTAGAAACAGGGTCTCGCTGTGTTGTCCAGACTAGTCTTGAACTCATGGTCTCAAGCCATCCTCCCACCTCATGGCCTCCCAAATTGCTGGGATTACAGGAGTGAGCCATGCCCAGCCCAAAATTAATTATTTTAAGATTTAATACAGCAGGAATAATATTGTTTTGATTGTTGCAAGCCTTACAAATATGACACATCATGTGAAAAAAGTTAAGCTGGAAGTGTAGGTCACAGGAGTAATTTATTCAAAGGTAGCCATTAACAACTCAAAATATCTTGGATTAATTCATAATTTAGGCTCTATCTGAAGTACAATAAATATAGTTCAGGATTTTCTTGGTGATATAAACATTAAATGCTATTAATAAAAGTAAATTTTTAGTATCTTACCAAAGTAAGAAATTAAAAATTCAAAATATATCTGTAAGGATTATGAAACTTTTAAAGAAGCTGAGAGGACTTTAAACAGGTGACTTCCATTAAAGATATATATAGAGAAAGAGAAACAGAAACCACAGGTGTTCTGTTCTGCTACTCACCGGTTTTCTTACAGCGATGTATTTTTTCCACCTAGAAGTCAGTCCCGGGTTAGAAAAGCCTTTTTGAACTCTTCAGATGAAAGACAGTCTGTGGGTAGCCATGACTAACAGCTTTAGTGATCTCTCTGATCTACTTTCTCTATTTCACATAATCCGTTTCTTCTGGGCCGCTGTTTCCTAGATACTTCTCAAGGCCATCTGAGCATGTAAAAGAAACAAGGTCAGTGAAATACTTCAACTACTTGCCTTCATCTTGGGAGCAATTTCCATGCCACAAGAGTATGAAAGGCTGCTCATATATACAGTAGCTCTCTGCATGGGATAAATCTGTGGTTCTTAACTGGTATAGTACCCAATGCATGATATTCACTCAATAGGTGCTTACTGAATAAAAGAGGAGGCCCACTGGGTAAAATGTTCTTTTAAGTCTCAACTTGGAGAGATAACTTTAAACAAAACAATGGTAGTTTTTCTCCATCACTCTATTAAATATTGATCTATTTAGCATTCATGTAACTACTCTTGCCATTGCTGTTAGATTATTTTGCATTCCTATTTTTTTGGCATCAAATGTTGCTCCAAACAACTAAAAAAAATATGATGTAGTTTGCATAAAGAAGGAAGACAATGATTAGTGAAGTGTTAACAGCACAGTCACCAGGTTTAACAATGAGCCACAGAGGTATAAGCCTTGCTCACAGCAAACAGTGTGCATTATTCCACAGAGCTAGATGTTTCAGAAGGAGAAACAGGGAGGAGACTTATGGAAGGCAGAATGACAACTGAGATTAAACCAAGAAGATACTGTGTTGTTTTAGAGTCAGCATTCTCATCTTTAATGGTAGTGCCAACTAGGTTTCATTATTCTCTTCCTTTGTTCATAGATGAGAGTTCAGACCAGCACCAATGTTACAGTAAGTACACTTTAAAAATTCCTAATTAAGTCAAAGTTAGGGCTATGATGATGTTTCCTTCACAATTAATTAAAATCTCAATGAAGTACTGAATAGGCTCTGGGTATATGTTTCATATATTATAAATTTATGTTTACTGACTAGGATCAAACCTAAGCCTTGAGCAACAGCAAAGAGGACCCAGGTCTTGCTTTCCGGAGTTAAACTGACTGCAGAGAATTGCTTGGAAACTGGTTACTCCTTGGAAGCTTCAATTTAAAAGCTTCTGAGTTTTTCTGAGCATCTGCTGTTGGAGAATGTAAAGAATGGACACAACCTAAGTTGTAAGAATAAGGAGGTGGCCCATGGAAATAGTTAGAAAATATTTTTATTTTAAAGTTGAAAATAACATTAAAAGTTTGAGTACAATTTTGTGATTTATTTAATCCACATCATTAATCGGAATAGTAATTGCAGCAGATGTTGTAAAGCTACAGTGACTTGCTTGCAGAATCTCATTATGGATTTACGAGAGCTGGGAGAATGCTGGACTTTTTCATTGCTTGCATGCACTGAATACCCTGAACTACAAAGAAGGGTGCCATGCTGCCTGGCAAAGGAGTCTGGATTCTCTGTAAACTTCTGAACCTCCATTTCTTAAACTGAAAAAAAAAAAAAAAAAAAAAAAAAAAGCCAACACTGGAATTTCTAACAGGTTTTACAGAAAGTTAGAGGCCATGCCTGAAATGCATGCAGCAGTCATAAATGGAAGCTTCTGTTTCTGTTCAGGAGTGTGTTGTTGATATTACAAATCCTAGCCATGCCAGCTTGGTGTCTTTAGGTAGGACACAAGAAATTCTCCTTGGGCTCCACTTATCATGGACCAGGTAATTACTAAGGTCTTTGTTTTCTAGCATGGGGACAGGGCTCGAGAGCTCGCTTAATCAGTGCCCTAAATCTAGTCTCCTACTGCCCATGTGAAGAAGCAGTCTCACAGCAGTGAATAGTGCACAAAGATGCTCCACCAACTGCTGTGTGCTTCCAGGGAGCAATCCTATCGCTAACTGAATCATTCTCCAGCTGATAGTACTGAGAAACTCAGGGTAAGGGTGAAAGGGGAAAAGATGGGAGCCTGTATCCCAGACACTCAGACAGGATGTACTGCAAGGCTTCTCTGTAATAAGGCAGCAAAATGGAGCTTTTAGTGTGACTAACCTGCTCTTTGGTGACCATCACCAGGTCATTGAAGGAAATGCATTATATCCCCCAATTCTCTGCTTTTCTATCAGGACACCTCCTGGATTACAGGGTGTGATTACCTCTTGCAGCTGAAACGAATCGTAGCCACAACCGAAAGGACCATTATTGTCTGGGATTATAAAGCTCAAGGGAGCAGCCAGGTATTGTGCCAAGAGAAATACTCAAAGAAATGAGATTGTCTTTTCAGTAGTGGTACGATATGAGCAATCCACTTTCTCTATTGAACATCAGTTTCTTCATCTATAAAATGAGAGGATTTAAGTAAGTAATCTCTTAGATCAAGTTCAGCATGTATACTCTCTAATTAAAAGGGACTATTCTTTTCATTTAGTGTATATTTAGTTCAGTGGCGGTTGGGTTGTTTTTGAGAGAGGGGGTAATTCCTTTCTTCTTTTATACCCTTCTCTGAATCCAAGTATTATCTTTCTTTGGGTATACTCATGTTATCAAGTTCAAGTCTTTTCTCCCGAGTCCAGCTTCATTAGGTAAGAAAATTACTAAAATCAAATGTCTAAGTCCGGCAAAAACATCTAATGAGGCAGCCCTTCAGTGGCTGAGATGTTACTGCTTAACCAATCTACAGTATTTATTGGGCATTTGCAGACACTTAGAAGTAAGGATTATGTTCTCTGCACTCAAACAAAACTCAGTCTTGAAGTTCCTCATGAATAAACATAATATATAATATGATGATACAGCAAATTATATGGTGCAACGGGGACTCAGGGAGGGTGAGATCACTGAGCACCGAGGTTATTTAAAAATGTCTTCAGGAAGCAGACTGACTTTGAAGGACATGGAGGATTAAGAAATAAATTAACCTTCCTTCATGCCTTTCTTGTTCCTAGCCTTGGTAAAAAACTAACCTTCTTTTGCTATTTGTTCATAATGTTGTAACCAACTAGTGATGCCAGAATAATTTTAAAGACAGCAGCTTGTTGGTCAACGTACTTTATTATGTGCTGTGTTATAGACCAGGTTTTATTAATTTCCAAACCCCTAAACTCCAAGATCCTGAACTTTGATCATTACCTCTTCTCCTCATGCTGTTCTGTTTTCACTCTTGCTTTTCAATCCCATAGAAGCCTTTAGTTCCTTGAAAACATCATGTTCCAGTCTTCACTCTCCGTCAACTCTTCTCTTCTTCCCTTCTTGCCTACACCCTCTGGGGGTATCATCTGAACTGGTCAGCCTCACCCTTCATTCTCTTCGATCTTTGTCCTTCAACCTGGAGGGATGCCCTAGCCCTTCTCTGCTCCTTCACAGTGGCTAAGCACTGCTGAAAAAAACTAAACAGTGCTATTTGGCACAATTATGAACTTCGGGTCTGCAGTAGCTTCCATCAATCTCTTTCTGGCTCTAACCAGCTCACTGGCCCATTTCTTGTAAGTCATCCACAATTTCAGTATTCTTCTCAGGCTTCTCCCTCTAGTAGATGGACTTGCACTCTATTTTCCTGCAAAAACTGAGTCTACTATCAGACTTGTCCTCTTTCAAATTCCAGTGCTGTCACCTACAGATTTAACTGGAAACCACATCCTTACTTTCGTCCTCTCTCTGAAGGCAAAATATCCTTGCATTTGACACCCCCTCCCCTCCTGTCTTGGCCAGGACAAGGCTCTACAGCCTCTTCTCTCTCTCTCTCTCTCTCTTTAAAAATTGTTTAAATTTTTTTATTTCCATAGGTTTGGGGGGAACAGGTGGTATTTGGTTACATGAGTAAGCTCTTTAGTGGCGATTTGTGAGATTTTGGTGCACCCATCTCCCAAGCAGTATGTACTGAACCCAATTTGTAGTCATTTATCCCTTACCCCCTTCCCACCCTTTTCCCCAGAGTCCCCAAAGTCCATTGTGTCATTTTTATGCCTTTGCATCCTCAAAGCTTAGCTCCCTCTTATGAGTGAGAATATATGATGTTTGGTTTTCCATTCCTGAGTTACTTCACTTACAATAATAGTCTCCAATCCCATCCAGGTTGCTGTGAATGCCATTAATTCATCCCTTTTTATGGCTAAGTAGTATTCCATTGTATATGTATATACCACAGTTTCTTTATCCACTCATTGATTGATGGGCATTTGGGTTGGTTTCACATTTTTGCAATTGCGAATTGTGCTGCTATAAACATGAGTGAGCGAGTAGCTTTTATATATAAGGAGTTCTTTTCCTCTGGGTAGATATCCAGTAGTGGGAATGCTGGATCAAATGGTAGTTCTACTTTTAGTTCTTTAAGGAATCTCCATACTGTTTTCCACAGTGGTTGTACTAGTTTACATTCCCACCAGCAGTGTAGAAGTGTTCCCTTTTCACTGCATCCACACCAACGTCTATTATTTTTTGGGTTTTTGATTATGGCCATTCTTTCAGGAGTAAGATGGTATCATATTGTGGTTTTGATTTGCATTTTCCTGATCATTAATTTGACGCTGATCATTTTTTTCCATATTTTTGTTGGCCATTTGTATATCTTCTTTTGAGAACTGTCTACTCATGTCCTTAGCCCACTTTTTGATGAGATTGTTTGTTTTTTTTCTCGCTAATTTGTTTGAGTTCCTTGTAGATTCTGGATATTAGTCCTTTGTCAGATGTAGATTGTGAAGATTTTCTCCCACTCTGTGGGTTGTCTGTTTACTCTGCTGGCTTCTTTTTGCCGTGCAAAAGCTCTTTAGCTTAATTAAGTCCCAGCTATTTATCTTTCTTTTTATTGCATTTGCTCTTGGATTCTTGGTCATGAAATCCTTGCCTAAGCCAATGTCTAGAAAGGTTTTTCCAATGTTATCTTCTAGAATTTTTATAGTTTCAGGTCTTAGATTTAAGTCCTTGATCCATCTTGAGTTGATTTTTGTATAAGGTGAGGGATGAGGATCCAGTTTCATTCTCCTACATGTGGCTAGCCAATTATCCCAGCACCATTTGTTGAATAGGGTGTCCTTTTCCCACTTAATGTTTTTGTCTGCGTTGTTGAAGATAAGTTGGCTGTTAAGTATTTGGATTTATTTCTGAGTTCTCTATTCTGTTCCATTGGTCTATGTGCCTATTTTTATACCAGTACCATGCTATTTTGGTGACTATGGCCTTATAGTATAGTTTGAAATCAGATAGTGTGATGCCTCCAGATTTGTTCTTTTTGCTTAGTCTTGCTTTGCCTATGCAGGCTCTCTTTTGGCTCCATATGAATTTTAGGATTTTTTTTCTAGTTCAGTGAAGAATGATTTCACTCTCCTGCTAGACTCCTTCCTCTCAACCTCCTCTTAATCTTCCTCTCAATCAATTCAGGTCCCAGATCAAATGTTACTTTCTCTGGCCATGGGACCTGATGTGGCCTTTTCAGTCACTGTGTATCAGAGCACTATAATTTATTTCCTTAAATGCACTTCTACCAGAATAGTAGCTCTACAAAGTCAGAAACTGTCTTGTACATCATTGCACAGTCGTGCTGCAATAGTTCTTGGCACACAGAAGGAAATATATAGATAAATGTTTGTTGACTGAACAAATTTATAGAGACTGAATCCTGGAAGAGCAATAGCTGTATAGCTTAGTGGCCCCATTCAATAGTACAAAATAAGCTTGACAAATGCTAAATATTTCTGAATAAACTTGGATGGTAGGATATTTTTTCTTCTGGTGACTCCTTGGGACTTTGATATTTGATTTTCCTGTTTGCCACCCAGTTTAATGTCAACAGTCTGGTAACACCTGAACCTTGTTATGCTTACTTTAATGTTTTCTTATAAATCCAAAAAAAGGCCATTTACAGTCACGCATCAGAAAAATCTCATTACTTATTGGCCCAGGGGTAGGCACTCTACTCCTTTCTCCACAAAACACCCAAAATAACAATGTTGGGCTCACAGCGAGTGTTCTGTAACTTTTATTTGGTTAACTGGTTTTTTTCTCAAATTATCTTATAAGATAGGTGTATCTACAATAAGAAACAGCGGAAAGTGAAATTTTTGTCAAATAATAGGGGAAATATTTATTGAACAGAGCAAAGTAATAATTCATTAAAGTCATTTTTCTGTTTCTAGGAAAATTATTTTGTCATAAAACCAATGGATCACTGCCTCCTGTGTGTGTGTGTGGTGCCTTTGCCTGACCATCTCTGCCGAGATGACATCCTCTTGGGGGATGATGGGGGTTTTGTGAACAGATTCACAGTCAACAGTGATGACTTTGGAATAAAGCAGGCAAAATCCAAAAGAAAATTACAAAATCAGGTCTTAGACTCAAAGAACTTTAAAAGGTAAGAGTATCATACAGTTAATTTAATTCTTTTAATAATTATAGTCTTTTGCAAGTAAGCTTTATGGTACAAAGTGAAAAATGAGATTTAAATTACAGAAAATAAGAAATTAAGACAAAATTAAAGTAATATAAACAATTAATTATAGTCATTGTTCATGTATACACACACACACACACACACACACACACACACAGAGTGAAATGCTTCTGGCCTCAAGAAACCATCAGTGTAATAGCTCCTAATTTAAGTGCTATTGACAACTAAAACTTACAGGTACTTGAGTAGATTGAAAAGTTAAATGAAAAAATTAAATCGTGAAAAAAACTATAAAAGATACATGTGACTAGTTACTAGCACTTGAAGATAGGAAAAGTTCTAAATATAAAAGCAATGGATATAGAATTCAAAGAAAAAGTTTGATAGATTTGACTATATACAAAATAAAACCTCTGGACATCAAAAGCTAGTATTTTAAAAGCAAACTGGAATAAATATTTGTGACAAATATGACAGACAATGGGTTGATATTTTTAACAGGTCTTAGAGTTCAATTAAAAGATATAATCCTCCAAGAGAAAAATGAGCAAAGGTCATGAACATGTAATTCACAAACATGTGCACACAGTACAAATGGTCAACAAACATTTCAAAGTGATCATCAGAAAAAAATGCTAACAATAGTTATCCCCAACTGATAATTATCATCTTCCTTATAATTGCAATGTCTTTAAAGTTTTTGAGAAAGGTATGTATTACTTTTATTAGCCGAAAAACCTAAATTTTATATTAAATGGTCTTCCTTATTTATCATAGAAGTACAAGTTAAAATCAGATACAATTTTTCACTTATAAAATCAGAAATGATTAAAAATGGGGAAGACGCTGTGAGCTGGGCATTCTCACATTAGTTGGTGGTAAAAGTATGAGTTGGATCCACCTTTCTGGAAAGAATTTCGGAAGCTGCATCAAGTGCCTTCATAACCATTAATACATTGGGACTTGGTATCCCTATCTTCAAAAATATCAGTATGGTTATCACAGCTTCGCCTTGCCTTGCCTTTCTTTCCTGTTTTGACAGAGTCTCACTCTGTCGCCCAGGCTGGAGTTCAGTGGCGCAGTCTCGGCTCCCTGCAACCTCCGCCTCCCGGGTTCAAGCGATTCTCCTGCCTCAGCCTCCTGAGTAGCTGAGATTACAGGCACGTGCCACCAACGCCAGGCTAATTTTTGTATTTTTAGTAGCAACGGGGTTTCACCATGTTGGTCAGGCTGGTCTCAAACTCCTGACTTTGTGATCTGCCCGCCTCGGCCTCCCAAAGTGCTGGTATTATAGGCTTGAGCCACCGTGCCTGGCCCACAGCATTATTTCTGATGGTAAATTATCTAGTGTCCAATAAAAGGGGAATGGTTACTTTAGATATTAATCATTTACATAAATAATTCAGATATATAAATATATAATATAAACATAAATGATATATATTTATATATAAAATACATTTTTTGTCTGACACCTAAAATACATTCAGATTTCAAGGATGTTCAGTAAATCATAGTATAACCATATGTCATGCACCCATTTAATTGTTTTAAAAAATATTTAATGGCATGAAAAGTGTTTATGACATAATGTCAAGTAAAAATTATTTATCTTTCAACAGATGAATTTGGGGGATAAAAAAATTTTAATTTAATTAATTTTTTATGTATATATGAATCCAGTCTTATAAATGTGTATATGTGTGTGTATTTCTACTTAGAAAAATATTGAGTATAAGTATCCAAAACTTTAATAAATAATTTCTATAGGACTTCAAAGAGGTGATTTTTAAAATTTTATTTGTTTTCTAAATTTTGTACAATGAACATTTTTTCCTTATAAAGACATTAAAAAATGGATTATACTTTGTTATTATGTAACAAATACTTTATCCCAGAGTTAGAATATGCAATTAAAAGCTCATTACAACTGATACTACGTGGAATTAAGACTAGTCCCATTGCTGGAGCCCTAAGAATGGTACAATAAAATTTACTGGCTCCATTTTCCATCCTTCACATATAAGCAGTATTACTTAGTCCCAACAAAGAATTAGACCTGATGGAGGACTTCCCCAATCTGTGATGTGCTGCTCTATATACTATTAAGCATTTCATTCTAGTTATGCTAGGCTTTTAGAATAGATGCTGAGACATGAATCTGCTTTTTATTAATATGTGTGCCACCTGTCAGAAAATTCCATGGCTCATTTTTCAATCCCAATCCCTGTTTTCATTAGATAGATATGTGAAAAATGAGATTTAGAAGTCTGAGGAAGTTAAGGAATCTGGGTACAGTTAAATGAATGCTAATTCATGTTGGTTCTTGTGGTTATTATATTCATGTAGATGATTTAATCATGCAGATGATTTAAATCATTCAAGACTACGGTGTATATATAGGCTGAGTGTTGCGGCATTTTCTTACACCAAGAGATCTTCAAACCTCACCAGAATGACAAGTATTAAGGCCAAAGAGTTAATTAAATTCTGGAGCTATCATACAAGTTTTCCTGCAGCTGACATCCACAGAATTCATTCTTGTTGAATGGGTGGATATGGGGGTAGTAAACACTGATATGCAAACCATTATACAAATTAAAGAAAGAAGTAGCCAGGATCCAGAGTTCAAACATATCTGGCATGAGAATAGAAAGCTCCCTCCCCACTCTGTTTAATGTCATATTGTAGAACTTTCATGCCTTGAGCTGTAAACATTTCTATTCCTCAACTAGAATTTAAGCAACTTGGTGACAAGAATTTTTACCTTAATCATCCTTGTGTCCTTAGTACCTGGGATGCAGTAGGTGTTCAATAGATGTGAATGAGGAGACAAATAAGCCATTAAATATTGGTAAATATAACACCATGAAGACAGAATTTTGAGGCAGAGGTTTTGTCTGTAACCTTAAGCCCCACATTCAAATGTTTTGTGAACTGATGGCCAACACTCTGACAAGGAATATTATCACTATCCCCCACTCAGCTTCACCAGTGATCTCAGATTTTACATTGCCCAGTACTTCAGTTTGAAAAGTACTAATGGAAAATATATTTTCAGATGGATTGATTCAAATAAGATATAAAAGAATATGAAGCATACTGCTCCATTTGGATCATTAGAAATTTTCTAGTAAAATAAAATCAATAGTGCCATTATTGAATTGGGATTCTTCTAGATTGTTCTTTTAATTCTGAATTCACAGCTCAAATTTTGAAGAGTCTTTTAAAGTTACTTTTCCATTTTAAGTATGCTTGATTATAAATAAACAGTTAAAAGTGGGCCAGGTGCAATGGCTCATGCCTGTAACCCCAGTACTTTGGGAGGCCGAGGCAGGCAGATCACCTGAGGTCAGGAGTTCGAGACCAGCCTAGCCAACATTATGAAACCCCGTCTCTACTAAAAATACAAAATTAGCTGGGCATGGAGGTGCACACCTGTAATCCCAGTTACTCGGGAGGCTGAGGCAAGAGAATTGCTTGAACCCAGGAGGCAGAGGTTGCAGTGAGCCGAGATCGCACCACTGCACACTCCAGCCTAGGCGAGAGAGCAAGACTCCATCTAAAAAAAAAAAAAAAAAGGTGTTATAATGCATTGGGCTGTATTCTACATTTGGGTTTAGTACAATTCAGTTACAGTCAAAGTAAATTGCTGAATAGAAACATATTATACGTTTGTGTGTCTAACATAAATCTCCCCTGCCTTTTCTTAATCCCCAGTGTTAAAAGGAAGCTACATAATGACTGGGTTATGAAAATTAGATATATTTCAGCCCTAAATTGTTTTGGATCCTGCTCCTTAGACAGTAATCATTCATTAGTTTTGGAATCCTTGAAGAGACTCGAGGATAATTTGTAAGTATAGTAATTTATATACATGAACAGTCTGTGAATTTCAAGCTTTTTACAATGATAAAACCATGACAGCTTTGAAACTTTCAAACTGGCTTTAAAAAAATCGGACATTAACTATTCCATTTGTTTGGGAAGGTTAATTAGATTTCTCAGGAAGAAATTGAAGCCACTTATGCAAATTTGAACATGACGTGTCCTAACATCAACTGTGCCCATTTGTTGTTTATTTCTATCATCTACTGAAATTAATCAATACGAGTGCATCTATAACATATTTCAAAATATAGTTCTGTTGGTAAAATTTTATAATTTTAAAATCATTCTTACAGGTCAGTTGGCTAACCAAGAGCTTGTGAGTATGATCTGTAGACCAGTAATCATGTTTCATGTGTAATATACAAGTTGGCATCCTCATAGAAAGGTTCATTTGAATATTGTCTTATTTTCAATCTGGTTAAATATGTATTAATAACTAGAAAACCGATATTGTATCTTAATTTGGGGTTTTAAAATTGCATTGAGATGTATGCTACAACATGAATGAATATCAAAAACATTAAGCTGAATAACAGACGCCAGACAAAAAGACTGCATATGGTATGATTCCATCTATATGTAATATCAAAAAAAGGGCACATTTATAGACACAGAAAGTACATCAGTGGTTGCCTAGGACTGGTGGTAGAAGCAGGGATCCCACATGGGCACAAGGGGACTTTCTTGGGTGATGAAAATGTTCTAAACTTATTGTGGCGACTGTTGATTGTTACACAATTCTCTAAATTTACTAAAAATTATTGAGTTGTACGCTTACAATGAGTGAATTTTATGATATGCAAATGTTATGATACCTATTGGGGTATTACATACCCTAATAAAGATGTCTCAGAAAAGCTCATCGAGACTCCTGGCTGCCTTCCAGTCTGGCATGTAAAGAGCTTGGAAGTTGCCATTCCATCCTAACAAGTAAAAATGTAACAAACTAAAAAATAAATAATTTTTCTTAGATCCATCAGAGAAGTAAGGTCACAAGGCAGTTTTGTTGCCCCCACATTGGAGAGACAGAGGGGCAAACACTGGGAATCACAACTTACTGGAGCAGAAATTCATGGGCAGGAACCCCCTGAATAACCAGTATAGGGCAGGAAAACCTAAATTGTAATGGACAAGTGCTCAGCATGGACAATTTTAGAGTTAAAAATTCCAGGGGTGCCCAGTCATAGGGGCCCCTATGCTTTTGTGAGTTTTACTTCCAGGAGTTCAACAGATTCTTAAAGTGAGTATCAGTGAAAAATTCTCTCTTACTTCTGGCGGAGGGGAAGGAAAAGGCACCATTTTGAAACGTGCCAGAACATGTTGTTCTTTCCAAGGTATGCCCTCAAGAGAAACTATGTTATCAGAGTCTAAGCTATTGGAACTTTGTCAGGGAATAACTCACAGAGGGAAGGAAAACATCCACTCTAACCTCTGGTCGCACCTAAGAGGGAGGGTGAGGAAGACTGACAAGCACTTGTGAAATTCGCAATCCAGACACACAGGCTCATCAAAAGAAGGAGACTTACTCACAGGATTCACCTTCCCCCACAGCTTACTGACATGTTACTAATGGCCTATTTATAGCAGTTCCCTTTACCCAGTAAATCATGTCCAGCTATCAAGAAAAAAATTACAAGGCATACTAAAAGGCACAAAACAGATTGTCAGAGTGATCAAAAAAACAAGACCCAACTATATGCTGTCTATGAGAAACACACTTTAAATATAAAGACACATATAGGCTAAAAATAAAAAGATGCAGAAAGATATACTATGCTAAAACTTATCAAAAGAAAGCAGAAGAAGCTATGCTAGTTTTATATAGAACAGATATCAGTGCAAGGAAAATTGTCAGGGATAAAGAAGGGCATTACATAATGATAAAGGGGTCAATTCTTAAAGATGCTCTGACAATCCTTAATGCAGATGCACCTAACAACAGAGCATCAAAATTAATGAGGCAAAAACTACAACTCCAAGAGACAGAACAAGCATCAGAATCAGATGCAGACATGGCAAGGAGGTTGGAATTATCAGAATGGGAATGTAAGACAACTACAATTAACAGGCTAAGGGCTCGGATAAAGCAGGCAGCAGACAAGAACAGACGGGCATTGTAAACAGAGAGATGAAAATTCTAAGAATAAAAAGTTCTAAAGATCAAAAACACTGATAGAAATGAGTAACGCCTTTGATGGGCTCATTAGTATACCGGACGTAGCTGAGGAAAGAATTTATAGAAGATTCAAAAACAGAAAGCAAAGAGGAAAAAAACTGAAAAAACAAAACAAAACAAAAAAAACCATAGGATATCCAAAAACTGTGGGCAACTGTGAAAAGTGTAACATATGTGTGATGAGAACACCAGAAGAAGAAAGGGAGAAAGGAAGAAAAGGTACATTTGAAGTAATGACTAAGAATGTCCACAAATTAAAATGAGACACCAAACCCCAGATCCAGTAATATCAGAAAGCACCAAGAAGGATAAATGCCAAAAAATAACTATACCTAGGCATATCATGTTCAAACAGCAGAAAAGTAAACATAAAGAAAAAAACTGGCTGGGCGCAGTGGCTCACACCTGTAATCCCAGGACTTTGGGAGGCCAAGGTGGGTGCATCACAAGGTCAGGAGTTAGAGATCAGCCTGACCAACATGGTAAAACCCCGTCTCTACTAAAAATACAAAAATTAGCTGGGCATGGTGGCGCACACCTGTAATCCCAGCTACTCAGGAGGCTGAGGCAGGAGAATTGCTTAAACCTGGGAGGCGGAGGTTGTAGTGAGCCGAGATCACACCACTGCACTCCACCCTGGGCGACAGAGGGAGACTCTGTCAAAAAAAAAACAAAAACTTGAAATGAGCCAGAGGGGAAAAAAACAACTTATCTGTAGAAAAGCAAAGACAAGAATTACTTGTGATTTTTCCTCAGAAATCATAAGCAAGAACAGTTGAGTGAAATATTTAAAGTGTTAGAAGACCTACCAGCCTAGAATTCTGTATACCGTGAAATTAGCCTTTAAAAGTGAAGGAGAAATAAAACTTTCTCGGACAAACAGAAATTGAGGAAATATGCTATCAGTATACCTGCTTTTCAAGAAAGGGTAAAAGAAGTTCTTCAGAGAGAAAGAAAAGCCGTAAGTCAGAAACTTGCATCTATATAAAGAAAAGAACAGCATCAGAGGAAGAAAAAGTAAAGGTAAAATAAAAATTGTTATTTTTGTTATTCTTAACTTTTCTAACAGATAATTTGTTCAAATAATAATGACAGCAATGTATTCAATTATATACACAATATATACACATATAAACATATATGTATGTATATATGGTATATTTGCTATGTGTAAGCAAAATAAATGACAGCAATAATACAAATAATGGAAGGAATTAGGATTTTTGTTTATTTTAATATACTTGTACTGCCTGTGTAGTACAGTGTTACTTGAAAGTGGACTTGGATTAGTTGTAAATGTATATTGCAAATGATAGGTCAACCACGAAAAATTGTTTTTTAAAAAATGTGTAACTTATATTCTAAGAAAATAGAGAAAATGAAATCATGTAAAGTGTTTATTTTAAAACACAAAAGGCAGAAAAAGAGTAAAAGACAAAAATAGAAACAAAGAAAAGCAGCAATTAATAGAAAACAATAACAAATATAGTAGATATTAATCCAACTATGTCAATAATTACTTTAAAAGTCAATGGTCTAAATACAGTAGTTAAGAGACAGAGATTGTCAGAGTGATCACAAAACAAGACCTAACTCTATGTTGTCTATAAGAAACCCACTTTAAATATAATGGCACATATAGATTAAAAGTACAGGGATAGGGTAAGATATACCATGCTAACACTTATCAAAAGAAAACAGGAGTTACTATAAAAACACTTAGCAAAGTAGGAATAGAGGGAACATCATCAACTTGTAAAAAACATCTACAAAAAACCTCCAGTTAACATCATCTATAGTACTGGACAGTTTTCCCACTAAGATCAGGTATAGCATGTTTGCACAATACAAGGTTATTATATACAAGTCAATAACTTTCCTATATCCTAACAATTAACAAGTGGCATTTTAAATTAAAAACATAGGCTGGGCACAGTGGCTCATGCCTGTAATCCCAGCACTTTGGGGGGCCAAGGCGGGCAGATCACCTGTGCTCAGGAGTTCAAGACCAGCCTGGCCAACATGGTGAAACCCTGTCTCTACAAAAATACAGAAATTAGCCAGGCATGATGGTGGGTGCCTATAATCTCAGCTACTTGGGAGACTGAGGTGGGAGAATTGCTTGAACCCAGGAGGCAGAGGTTGCCGTAAGCCGAGATTGTGCCATTGCATTCCAGCCTGGGCAACAGAGCAAGACTCCATCTCAAAAAAATAAAAAAATAAAAAAAAAAAAAAGAAACACAATGCCATCTACATTCGCATTTGAGAATGAAATACTTAGGTATAAGTCTAACAAAATATGCAAGATCCAAATGAGGACAACCACAAAACTCCAATTAAAGAAATCAAGGAATTAAATGAAGAGATATTCCACGTTCATGAATAGAAGACTCACTATTGTCAAGATACCAGTTTTTCCCAACTTGATATGTAGAGTCAATGCGATCTCACCCAAAATTCAGGAAGTTATTTTGTGAATCTTGACAAGTTCATTTTAACATTTATATGGAAAAGCAAAAGGTCTTGAGTATTCATCACAATAATGAAGAGGAAGAAACAAATCATAGGACTGACAAGTCAAGACATAAAGCTATAGTAATAAAGATAGTGCGGTATTGTAAAACAATGGAAAAAATAGATCAACAAAGCAGAAATAGACCCACATAAATATAGTCAACAGATCTTTGACAAAGGAGCAAAGGGAATACAATGGAGCAAGATATTCTTTTTAACAAATGGTTCTAGAACAAAGAAATAATTGATGAGCTGTACTTCATTAAAATTGAAACCTTCTGCTCTGCAAAAGACTCTGCCAAGAGAATGAGAAGACAAGACACAGACTGGAAGGAAGTATTTGCAAAAGACATATCTGATAAAGGACTGTTATCCAAAATATACAAAAAATTATTTCAACTTTATAATAAGTAAACCAACAACCCAATTGAAAAATAAACAAAAGATCTGAATAAATACTAAGATACACAGATGGGAAATAAGCATAAGAAAGGATGCAAAACACTTTAAGTCATGAAGGAAATGTAAATTAAAATAAGATACCAGTACATACATATTAGAGTGGTCAAAATCCAGAACACTAACACCACCAAATGCTGGTGGGGTGTGGAGCAAAAGGGACTCTCATTCATTGCTGATGGGAATGCAAAATGGTGCAGTGACTTTAGAATTCCGCTTGACCGTTTCTTAAGAAAATGAAACATACCCTTACTACATGATCCAGCAGTCATACTACTTGGTATTTACCCAAAGAAGTTGAAAACGTATATTCACACAAAAATCTGTACATGGATGTTCATAGCAGCTTTATTCATTATTGCCAAAACTTGGGGGCAACAAAGAAATCTTCAGTAGCTGAATGGATACACAGACTCTGGTAATCCAGATGATGGAATATTAGTCAGTGCTAAAAGGAAATGAGCTATCAAGCCATAAAAAGACATGGAGGACCCTTAAATGCATATTACTAAGTTAAAGAAGCCAAACTGAAAAGGCTACATACTGTATGATTCCAATTATACGACATTCTGGAAAATGTAAAACTGTGGAGACAGTAAAAAGATCAGTGGTTTCCAGGGCTTTGAGGGGAGGGAGGGAGCATAGAGAATTTTAGGGCACTGAAACTACTTTGTATGATACTGTAATGGGGGATAATGTCATTACACATGTATCAAAACCTATGGAGTGTACAACACCAATTGTGAACCCTAATGTAAACTATGGACTTTGGTTTATAATCTTGTGTCCATTATTATAACCAATGTAGCACTGTGGTGTGGGATTTTGATTTCGGGAGAGACTGTGCATGTGTGGGGACAGGGAGTATGTGGGAAATCTCTGTGCCTTCCCCTCAGTTCTGCTGTGAATCTAAAACTGTTCTGAAAAATAAAATCTAGTTTAAAAATGTGCTGAGCTACAAACAAGAATCTGACTTGTTGCAACAACAACAGCCATATTATTCGGATTTAGCCTTAAGGATGAGCATAAACCTATCTAAAAAAAAGATTGGTTAAAACATATAACCCTTCTCTGGTGATTTAATTCCATTCTTAAAAATTTATTTTCAAAACCCTAATAAATTTTTCTGAATTTCAGCTTTTTAATCTAAAAAATGGGTGAGTCGAAAGGAGATTGATTGTTAGCTATAGAACTTGGTCTCCTTCCCCACCTTTACATTTAGAGAACAACTAAAAGTAGTACTAGGAAAAATGGTGAGTAGCCTGTCCCCCTAACAAAATGCATGATGTCCTTTAGGTGCTCTTGAGCTGTTTAAATGAAATTCATACAAAAAAAAAAGAGTCACAAAAAATAGCCTCTGCATATACAGACTTAGAATTCCTTTAAATTCTGAGGTTTTAAATTTAAGCAATGAAATAACAGAATTAGAAATTTAATGGAAGAACAGCATATCACATCTCTAAGATGTGACTTTTTCTAAGATGTGATTTTCTTGAAAATTGTAGACTTCATGAAAGATACTTTTTTTTCACTCATTTAGAAAGGACGAAATGTTTATTTTGCTGTATAACATATTGCACTGAAAGACAAATTAAAAACCCTTCACAGCACATTAAAAACAGTTTCATTTCTTGACACCAGATTGGATTCCACAAATATCATTTATATGGCATAATTAATTGCATAGTTTCATTTAGTTTCTGTAATATAATTAACTGCTAGTGATTATACTCTTGCATTTTAAAGGAGTGCATTTCTGAAACATTTAATTAAGAAATAGATGCAAGTTTATATCCAATTTGATTATATACTATGCTGGCAATTCGTGATACATTCATAACCATAAAGGAACACTGTGAAAACGTATGCAGATTGATATGCCCTTGTAGTCCTACAGAAGACATATTCTACTTCAACATCCAGAGAAAACATGTTCATTTCCAAGATACACAAATCTATAGCCTCCATTTTACCAGGGCAAACATTTCCAGCACATTTACCAGGGTGATTACAGCAACTAATGTAGCAACCAGAAACTTATACAGGTCATATATAGCTTTTAGTCCAGAAATATATCTGTTATCCAACAAATATTTAGTAAGTCACTATGGGATAAGCACTATGGACAATACAAATATATCTAAGCCACGACCCCTGCCTCTACATGCTTAAAATTTAAGTGGTAAGATAAAACATACAGACATAAAGTCAGTGGTATGTTGAAGTCAGTTCATATTAGCTTATGAGAGTTGATTGTTAAAATTTCAGGAATTAGGCAAGCCTGTTGTTAAACATTGTCATCTTGGGATGTCAAACCTAAGCCAAAAACAATCAAACAAACAAACAAACAATCACTGACATCATTCAAAATTGAATTATATAAGCTAGTAGTTCAATTATATAAAGAACAAAGGCAGTAAATACTCAAAATACGTCACTTCTTTTTTATTTATTACAATTTACCATTGTCTGTGTTCTTGAGGGTTTTTAAAAAAATATCCTCAGAAAATACTACACAGTACAATGGCGCACAACTATATGTTTTTTTTCCTAACTCCATGTTTAGAGATGTCACATTGGTAATTTGGAAGCAGCCATGCTACCATATTTATAGCATGGAAAACAGCAAACTCTAAAAATCAGTCGACCCACCCTGCTTTCCCTGGCTGCAGCTGAATATTACACATTTACCAGCACATCATTACATGGGATGATAATTATCAATGCAAAGCACGATATATCAAAGATCAGTTGAATGGTTTAGAATTATAGGCACAGTAGAAGTTAAGAAAAGGGAGTAATAAACGATAGTTCTCAGCAAGCCTAAAAAGATAAGAACAAGAAATCTTACTTAGAGGACTATAAAAATAAACTTGGCAGTGATTTCATCAACGAGAAATGTTATAACAGCCACAATAAACATACCAAGTCTGCATTTGGAGGGATGAAGTGGCTTATTTCTACTTTCTTAAAGAGTATCTTTATACTGGTGCATTTAATTGCCTATTGCCAATGCTAAGATTATAAAATAGAAATCAAGGCATTATTCTGAGACCAGACATAGTGGCTAAGCCTGTAATCCCAGCACTTTGGGAGGCCAAGGTGGGAGAATCACTCGAGCCCAGGAGTTCAAGACCAGCCTGGGCAACATAGGGAGATCCTGTCGCTACAAATAAGTTAAAAATTAGCCAGGTATGGTGGCATGCGCCTGTGGTCCCAGCTACTTGGGAGGCTGAGATGGGAGGATCACTTTAGCCTGGGAGGTCGAGGCTGCAGTGAGTGATGAGCACACCACTGTACTCCAGCCTGTGGAATGGAATGAGACCCAGTATCAAAAAAAAAAAAAAAAAAAAAAAAAAAAGCATTAGTCTGAATAACACTGATAAGACCCTAACTTACAGCACCTGGATTTTTTTCTTTCAGAAAAAGTTCTCTTCAGAGAAAGTTCCTTTCTCTGACCTCCTCTTTTATCTTATCAGCTCTTGAACACTCTAACTCCCACTACAGCTACTCAATGACCTCACTGAAGTCTCAGATATCTTTGTTATTGGAAAGGGATCCTGATCCTGACCCCCAAAAAAGGTTCTTGGACCTCACGCAAAAAAGAATTTGGGGGCGAGTCCATAGAGTAAAGTCAAAGCAAATTTATTAAGAAAGTAAAGGAATAAAAGAATGGCTACTCCATAAGCCAGGCAGTGACATGGGCTGCTTGACTGAATACACGTATAGTTACTCCTTAATTATATGGTAAACAAAGGGTGGATTATTTCTGAGTTTTCTGGGAGAGGGGTGAGCAATTCCTGGAACTGAGGGTTTCTCCCTTTTTTAGACCATAGAGGGTAACTTCCTGACATTGTCCTGGTGTTTGCAAACCGTCATGGCACTGGTGGGAGTGTCTCTTAGCCTGCTACTGCATTATAATTTGCGTATAATGAGCAGTGAGGATGACCAGAGGTCACTCTCATGGCCATCTTGGGTTTGGTGGGATTTGGCCGGCTTCTTTACTGCAACCTGTTTTATGAGCAAGGTCTTTGGGACCTGTATCTTGTGTTGACCTTCTATCTCATCCTGTGACTAAGAATGCCTAAGCTTCTGTAAATGTAGCCCAGCAGGACTCAGCCTTATTTTACCCAGCCCCTATTCAAGATGGATTTGCTCTGGTTCAAATGCCTCTGACACCTTGATCTCTTCATTATCTCAAATTTTGTCAGCCCTCTCCTCTACTTTCTTCCCTTCCTATTGACCTAGACCCCAGGTTATTCATCTGAGATAATATCTCACCAGCATTTTCTTGGCCTTACACCCTATCTGCTCACTGCATCTGATTGCAGAACCCCAACCCTTCTGTTAGCAGAGCCCTTAGCCTAGACTCCTAATCCCTTTACATGCCTTTGCTCTACTTCCTGTCTCATTTTCTCCAGTGACTATTCCAGACTTCTGCCCCTTTCACTCTTCACTGATATCCTGTCCTCCTACATGATGAAAAACCTGGAGCCTCAAGGGGAATTCTTCAACACATCATACCTTTCAAAATTATCTCTGGCCGTACCTATTCTTCTTTTCTTTTTGTTTCAGAGGTTAAAGTATCAAACCTTCCATTGGTGACCTTATGCTCAACTCCTTCCATCTTCTCCAGGATCTTGCTGTCTCAGCTCTTCCACTGTCTCCTTATTTTCTTTCTCTATTTTTAGACACAGGGTCTCACTGTGTCACCCTGACTGGAGTGCAGTGGTGCAATCATAGCTCACTCCCCCAGCGTCGAACAGGCTAGCTGGAACTACAGGCAGGAGCCACCATGCCCAGCTTAAAACTCTTATTTTCAAACTATAATGCTCAAGTCTCTGTCGATATGAGTAACCCTTCCTTTGACCTACATTTTCCTCCTAACAATCACACTATACATTTTCTTTCCTTCTTATTTTAACTTCCGAGAAGAGTACTCTGCATTCACTGCCTCCAGTTCCTTGATGTTATTCATTCCCTCCATAATTCTCTCTAATGTAGCTTCTTCCCTATCTACTCTGTGGAATCAGAAAGCCTCAGGACATTCAGCCTTACTGATCTCACCCACCCTGAAACTATTCGCCTGGTTTCTGGGAAGCCAGAGTTGTCTCCCAGTATCTTACTGTTGGTTCTTTTTTCTTGTGATTCTTCTTTTCATGCCTTCTCTTAATGGTGGCATTCTCTAGCATCAGGTCCTTAGCCAACTTTTCTTCTTACATTCTATCCTCTTCTTGGGTGATAGTTGTATTCTTCAATACACTGATACCTATGTACTAATGAAACCCAAGCTATCTTGAATTTGGGACTTCTTCTTGCTCAATATCTGCACTTGGATATCTCATAGTCCCTCAGACTCATATGATCATATCTGAGCTTAACTTCCCCCACTTTAAAATATATACCTTCTATAGCATTTTGTATTTTGCTTGGTGGCACTATGGTCCATCCATCACTCTAGCTGGAAACCTGTCACCTCACATGATTCTCTTTTCTTCCTTGATTCCCACAAACCAGTAATCACCAAATTTGTCCATATTGCCTCATAACCACTCATGGCATCTGTCCTGTCTTCTTTATCTCTATTCCTTTCACTCTCCTGGCCCTTATCTCCAACTGCCCTCTTGCCTCAATATTATCCCTGTCAAAACGATTGTTCATTAATCTTCCAGGGTATTCTCCTGAAGATGACATCCAAACATCTCAATACTTTTCACAGTTCTCTGTCCCCTCCCCACAGCACTTCCATGATCTGGCGCCCAGCATACTCCTCACCTCATCCCCTTCAGTGCCCTTCACTGCCTTGTACTTAGCTTCCTGTAAATCTGAACTGCTTGCTGCTTCCTTGAAACCCCCATGCTGGAACTTTGTACATATTTTGAGCCTGAAATACCCTCCCCATTCTTCCTCTTCTTTCTGTCCCCCAACCTCCAGAAATCTTTAAGGATCAGATGGTACCTACTCCAGGGAATTTTCCTGACCACTCCTCAGCACCTTTCTTCCAAGATAGGTTAGATACCCTTTTCATGCTGTATTAGTCCATTCTCCCGCTGCTACAAGGACATACCCAAGACTGGGTAATTTATAAAGGAAAGAGGTTTAATTGACTCACAGTTCTGCAGGGCTGCAAAGGGTTCAGGAAACATACCATCGTGGTGGAAGGGGAAGCAAACACGTCCTTCTTCACTTGGTGGCAGGAAAGAGAAGAATGAGAAAACTGAGGGAAAAGGCCTTTATGAAACCATCAAATCTCATGAGAACTCATGCACTATCCCAAGAACAGCATGAGGGTAACTGCCCCCATGATTCAATTATCTCCCACAGGGTCCCTCCTATGACATGTGAGGATTATGGGAGCTACAATTCAAGATGAGATTTGGGTGGGGACACAGCCAAACCATATCACATGCCTCAATTTTTATTTATTGCATCTTAATTATGTTGAAAGATGTGTCTTTATAAGACACTAAGATTGGTGAGGGTTACCAATACATGCAACATTCACTTTCTGATTACTCCATTATTTGGGCAAAACTACAGAAATAATTCCAGAAGAAACTCTACAGCAGCCATCTGAATATGTATTTACTTAGCAAATACTTATTGATGAATTACTAAATTTAAGACACTGTACTAGGTGCTAGGAATTTAAAGATGAATAAGACTAGGTTGTCGACCTCATATGTAATGAAGGAGAAAACAAATGAATGAATTCCCACAGAGGGTGATAAGTGCCATGATACAGATGTAAGAGAGGGGTATGACAGGAGTGCTTAGAACATCTTAGGATAGGATTGTAGGGGTGGGTGGGGGGAACTGAGGAAGGCTTCCTGAAGATGTCACAAATGCCGAGTTTTGAAGAATTGGTAAAACTTAGTCAGGCAAAACAACTGAGAGGTAGCAGAGTGGATAAATAGACACAATACAGAAGTGGTATTCACAAAGATATGGAAGAGAAAGAGAAGATGGTGAGTTCTCAAAATTGCAAATGGTTCAATATAATTGGAGAACTGAGTGAGAGAAGAGTTGGGAAAGATGAGGCTAGACAATCCAAGCATGAAAAGACCTGCATACCATGCTAAAGAGTTGGGATTTTAACCTGAAAGCTATCGGAAGCCATCGAATGCTTTAAACAAGAGAGTAAAAAAATGTTTTTGACAGCAGATCACCCTAACAGCAGAGCGGAGAATGGATTGGGGAAGGGCAAGCTCAAAGGAGGGAGACCAATTGATGAAGATATGACAATACTACTTTAGAAGAGAAATGATGAGCGCTTGGGCTTAACCAGTGGAAGTAGGGACAGAGAGAGAACAGATATTCTTGCACAACTTACAAGAATTGGTGGCCTAGTGGATGAGAAGAATAAAGGAGAGGGAGGAATCTGTTTCTTTTTTTTTTATCCTTAACATATTTATTGCGTACCTATTTTAGACCAAAAACAGATTCCTCCCTCTCCTTTATTCTTCTCATCCAGTAGGCCACCAATTCTTGTAAGTTGTGCAAGAATATCTGTTCTCTCTCTGTCCCTACTTCCACTGGTTAAGCCCAAGCGCTCACCATTTCTCTTCTAAAGTAGTATTGTCATATCTTCCTCAATTGGTCTCCCTCCTTTGAGCTTGCCCTTGACCATTTGACAGGATGGTCAGGAGAGACTGCTCTGAAGAGACAACATTTGAGCAGAGATATGAATGTGGTGAAGATCAAATCATACAAATATCTAGAGGAAGAATGTTTGAGAACAGGTGACTGTCAGGCTTCTGGCTGGGAGGACAGTTTACATGGCACTATTTACTATAATAGAATATAAGTGAGTAAGGGAGCACTTTGCTCACTTGCTTCAAGGGAGCAAAAGAATTCTAATGTAACCTTTGCCAACTTATTTGTTGGCCATGTGGTCTTGGGCATGTTACTGAAGTTATTTGAACCTCAATAACCTCCTTTATGAATGGAAATAGCACTAACTTTCTTATCTCACAGGATTTTTGTGATGGTCAAATAAGCTGAGATGGTGAAGGTGCTCTGGAAATTGTAAAATGCTATACAAATGGAAAGTATTATTATTTGCTTACAGTCATTTAAGCTTTCCTGAAGAATGGACTTTTAAAGAAGACTTTGATTTCCGTGTGCTGTCAAAATCCATGAAAATAATAAATACCCCAACACCAGAGAAAAGGAAAGGCACTCATATTTTCCTCTGGGAACCAATTATGATGATGCCAACATTCCCTTTGTTCAAGCATTAGGATCTGTCAATCAGGTTGTGAAGTTTGTGTTAGGTTTTAAATGAGATAGTAATATTTTTTTATATAAAGACTGGACATCGTCTTCTTTTTGACAAGAAAAATATGCCCTTCAACTAGCATGATTTAATCAAATATAATACCTTTTGCGGGGAGTAACCTCAAGAGCAAAGTTGAGTTACGCACATTTTCACAATCTCCTTCTCTTAATTCACGCCATTCCATTTACACACACATACACATGCGTGCACATGCGCGCACACACACACACACACTCACACACACAGAGCCATTCTTTGGGTTTAAAGCAATTTTTTGTTGTTTATATGTTTTTTTCAAAATGCATATTTGTAAATATTTGTAAGTTACGTAATGGTATTGTAGGGGCATTAAGTTCCTACTCTCCATCGTGTTCCACAGGTTTGGTACTCAGTCATTGTGAACACTTAGATTATCTAGAAGGTTTTACTTTTCTGATTAACCAGTGCAATCTGATCTTTGCTCTGAACAACATCTACTTTGCAATAGTCAGGAGTTTGTCTTTGAGCCCAGTTCTGGGCTTCCTGGAATTTGGTTGGTAATGTATTCGTCTGAGAAGAAGTCAGGAAGTCAGTTGAGTAGTAATGACAACCTCAGCAAACAGTGGTCATTGATCTGTTCATCTAGATGAGCTTTTCAACTACTTCCTCACTTGGGCCACACTCCTAAATCTAGAAGCTGAAGAGGTTTCTCAAGTGAGGTAGTGTAATCATGTTTTCCTGAGCAGCCACTGCCATTGTAGAGTCATCTCAATAGACTGAGAATTGGGTCCATTCCATCTCTAGACTCAACATGTTTCTATTTTTGTAATTTCCTATAATGAATCTTAAGTTGAGCCAGATAAAGCTGCATTTATACAATACATAATTGGCCAGCTGTTAAATTGGGAGCCAATAGCTCCCAAGAAGACAGGAAAAAAATCCTCTCAAAAAAATTTCCATTCAGAAGTGATTACCATTCTGTTTGTAATTTTGTATGGTAATTTCACAAATGGAGTTCTGTACTAGCAAGAAAATAAACATCTGCAATTAATTATGCCATGTAAAGCATGTTGCCTGTTGCAAGACATAAGCTGAACCTTCAAACCCTTTGATAGCTTGACAGTTTCCAAGAGATATGCAACTAACTACTCAGCATTACTTTTTATTATTTACCCAACTCAGAGGCAGATTATCATATTAGAAAGAGTATAGTTGCCCTTGGTAAGGTTGCTGTGGAGACAGAACTGGTTTCTGTCCTAGCACTCACTAACCCTGTGACCATTGAACACTTTACCATTAGTTCTTCTTACCTCAGTTTCCCCATCTTTAAATGGTAATGAATATACCTACATGATAGTCTTATAAAAATTACTTAAGTTAACTCACGTAAAGTGCCTTGTTTAATGCCTGACACAAAGTACTCAATAAATGTTGGCTCCTTTTCTTGTTCCCCTAAGAAAGATACTGAAAAAATTTAAAGGAAAAAAAAAAAAAGAAAGAACTTGAATACAAAGGAGAAGAGATGAAACTATCATAGATTAGTTTGTGCACTGGTTTAAGCTTCCTGTTCCTGCATCTAGAGCAGGGATTAGCAAACTGTAGCCCAAGGCCAGATCCAATGAGTCACCTGTTTTTATAACATCTGCAAACTAAGAATGGTTTTTACATTGTTCAATGACTGAAACAAAAGTTTTAAAAAAGAATAATATCTTATGACCCATAAAATTGATATGAAATTTAAATTTCACTGGTCATGAATAGAGCTGTAAGGGAATCACAGCCATACTTATTTGTGTTATCTATGATTGTTTTCATGCTACAGTGGCAGAGTTGAGTAGTTCTGACAACAGAGACTTTATGGCAAAATCTACAATATTTGTTATCTTATTCTTTATGGAAAAATTTTGCCAATGTCTGATGTAGAATTTTCTATTGCACCCTCCCTTGCCCCTTGGGAATGGGCACAATATGGATCAATAAGAGGCAGTAATACAGAGTTAGGGCCACTTTTTAAAAATGCCTTACCTGAGGCATTCTGAAATTTCTTTCCTCTTATATCATAAAGGAGAAAAGAGAAATGCCTTATTCCTTGTTTCCTGCCCTCATTCCCCACCAACTACCTCACCGTCACCGGGAGAAAATATCGAGGGACTCTGCTGACTCAGTAGCCCTGCTTCTTTAGCAATCACACAGTTCCCCTGGGATGCTTCCCGTCTGCAGCATTGCCTTCCATTCAGTGAACAACCCCTATCGTGTAACACATGCCCCCTGAAAAAAGTCACCCCTTTACCTTCTACCTGATGACTCTGCTTCTCTCCCTGCATCACGCTCATTAATTCATGGAACAACAGGAGAAAAGTCTGAGATGAAGCATGTGGTAATTCAGCCAGGGACTTTTGATAGGGGACTCTATCAAAAAGTTTTTTTTTTTTTTCTGTTTTGAAGAAACTGTCAGAAAATGTTTCTCTTTAAAATTGCTATCATTTCAGGGGGATCAGGGAAAAAGTCAGAATGAACTTCCCAGAATCAATACATTTCTATTCTGTGTGACTCCGGGAAGTGGTTATTGTTAATCAGGTATTTGTCCCTTAAGGATATTCAAACAATTATTTATTGGGAGCCTTCTATATTCAAAGAACCGTTGTGTATTAATCCATTTTCACACTGCTATAAAGATACTATCTGAGACTCAATAATTTGTAAAGGAAAGAGGTTAATTGACTCACAGTTCCACATGGCTGGGGAGGCTTCAGGAAACTTACAATCATGGCGGAAGGTGAAAGGGAAGCAAGGACCTTCTTCACATGATGGCAGGAGAGAGAAAAGTGAGCAAAAGAGGAACTTGCCAAACACTTATAAAATCATCAGATCTCATGAGAACTCACTCACTAACACAAGAACAACACGGGAGAAGCCGCCCCCATGAACCAATCACCTCCCACTAGGTTCCTTCCTCAATACTTGGGGATTACAATTCAAGATGAGATTTGGGTGGGGACACAAAGCCTAACCATATCACATGGTATCTACATTTTATCTTGTTATTAATGAACATCATGGGCCCACATTGTACACGAAACTGTGAGTCTGGTGCCACTCTGCTATGGGTGGTGTTTACAGGTGGGGCTCACTAAGGTGTCCTGGCCAAGAGGACAGTCTCCTTCCTTCCCAACCTCACCCCTGCCATCCTGAGAAGGGAGCATAGTGTGGTGGACCTGGGCTCAAGTCCAAACACCAAACTGATATCTCAATGCACTGGAAAGTATATGAAAAAACGCTCTTCACTCTTAAAGTGCTATCGAAATGCTGGTTAATATTATCATGATAGATTTCTCACAAAATGTTTGATTTTTTATGCATGCTGGTTAGAGTAAGATACTTCTAATAACAGAATGAAAAAGCAATTTTTCAAAGGATATGCAGCTGAATATGAACATGAAATACTGGAAAGCAGGCCATCTTTCATTTTCCAAATTGACATCAATTATATGAGCCTTTCTACTTGAAAGAAGTTTTATTTAAAGGCACAGTTCACTCATTTGTAATTCATTTAATTATGTGGGCTCCTATCATTATTTTTTATAGGAAAATAGAGTAATTACATCTAAAGGGCAAATATCCTTAAGAAACTGAAATTTTTAAAATGGGAAGTATGAACACAATTCCACATGCTGAGAAATTTAAGTAAAAAGGTTGTTAGATTTGCTCATAATCAGTTAATAGGGTATTAAATGGCTCTTTTCCTGCTGTCTTAGAATTTCAGCTAATGCCATTCTAAAGAGAGGTATAGTAGACCATCCTCAAGAATTACTGGAGAGGATTGCTCTAGACCCATGACCTTTACACCATCATCCCTTGCCAGCAAATGTGAATATGATACAACCAGCAATTCAAAAATAATTGAAAAGAGGGATTAAGGTACCTGGTTGTGGGCCAATGGGGGAATGCAGGGTTATTTTGTCTGCCTTCCCCAAAATGGGAGTGGCGGTTGGGGCGAGAGCTTCTGGTGCTACAAAGCAAGTGCTGACAGGTCCAGGAAGATCTACTCCAGAAGAGCCTAAAGTGGGGAAACGCATCTAGCTCCCCAGTAGCTAGTTGCTGAGGCTCAGAACTCACAGGCTCACCTTGGGCAAGCTTGACATGTGACACATGTACGCGATGACCACTACTCGCTTCCTCATGGAGAATTTATTTTTTTTCTTTTTAGAGACAAGGTCTTGGCCGGGCGGGGTGGCTCACGCCTGTAATCCCAGCACTTTGGGAGGCCAAGGAGGGCGGATCATGAGGTCAGGAGATCGAGACCATCCCGGCTAACACGGTGAAACCCCGTCTCTACTGAAAATACAAAAAAAATAGCAGGGCATGGTGGCGGGCGCCTGTAGTCCCAGCTACTCGGGAGGCTGAGGCAGGAGAATGGCGTGAACCCGGGAGGCGGAGCTTGCAGTGAGCCGAGATCGCGCCACTGCACTCCAGCCTGGGCGATAGAGCAAGACTCTGTCTCTAAAAAAATAAATAAATAAATAATAATAATAATAATAATAATAATAATAATAATAAAAGATACAAGGTCTTAATGTTACCCCGTCACCTGGACTGGAGGGCAGGGGCATGATTATAGCTCATTGCACCTTCGAGTTCCTGGGATCAAGCAATCCTCCTGCCTCAGCCTCCTGAGTGGCTGCAGATACAGATGTGTGCCAACACGCCCGGCTAATTTTTCTTAATTTTGGTAGAGATGGGGTCTTGTTATGTTGCCCAGACTGGTCTCAGACTCTTGGCTTCAAATGATCCTCCCACCTTGGCCTCCCAAAGTGCTGAGATTACAGGTGCGAGCCACCATGCCTGGCCCTCATGGAGAATTCTGAAGGCTGCAGGCTGGGCCACAGTCTGACTTTCCCGGCCCTGGGCATTTTTGCCTTTATAGGTCCCTCCCACCATAATACTATCAATCTTACACATTATTTTTCATATACTTTTATGTCTTCAACATTTTTCTTCTGTCTTAGGAAAAATTTAGTATGTTTTCATGGGCCCTAAAAATTCTAATGTCCTATGACCCTAAGCTTTTATTTTTGCCTTCTGATTTTAAGTGCAACTAGAATATTTCCACGGGCCCCTAAAAGTACTTTGGGCTCCAGGCCTTGTGCCAGCTGTGCCTAAGGATCAGGTCGACCCTGGCTGGAGGAACCCGCCACAGAGTGGCAAGGCTGCATTCACACTGATACTGTCCAGCATCCTGTGAATTCCCTTTGGGCCACAGAAGGTAGCTTCGCTGGAGCCATCCTAATGGGAATTGGCCCAAGAAGATTTGCTGTTGGGGCGAGGTGACAAGATAAGACAGGGTAAAAGAAAATAATGCCCTTCCTGGTTTGTACTACATCCAGTTCAGTTCATTCAGCCAAGCAGCTATGGTGACAAAGTATGTCACTGGCAAACCTGTAAATGAGTCATCAGTTAGAACTTAACTACTTCTCATCTGGGACATTTAAGCATTTTCAAAAGCCTAAATACTGACTTTTGATTTATGTTACTAAATTGAGACTCCTTTTATGAACTTTGCATTTGATAGAAGGATAACTACTTACAAAGTAGATTTAAATTAGTTCAAAAAACTGTTTTAAATATTTTAGAAGTATTCTTTCACATAGAGATAATACTACCTGCTCTTCCATTTAGTAAAGCTTTCTATCTAGCAGTGAATTTGGTTATTTTGCATTATTTTTTATTAAATTTTTAAAAATCAAATTTTTTCAGGTGATTGTTCTCACTCATCAAGGTATTTTAACAAATTTTATTTAAATAATTGATTTTTAATTGTAGTGTCTATTTCAAAAAATATGAGAGCTATTCCTGCAAACTGGTAGCCTGTTAGCCAAATGCAGCTACAAAATGTGTTTGGGGGATCACTTATTTTTTTGATCTTTGCTTGTTGTGGTGAACCTGCCTTTCCTGTTGTGCATGTTGGCTGGCTCTGGGCCCGGGCTCCCCCTTTTCACAGGCATGCACTCTCAGTTCACCACAGCCCCCCTTCTCCCTGTGGTGTCATACCCAACCCCTTCTCCCAGCTAGTTTACCTGCCTGGCTGCTGCAGACTTTGAGTTTGTGACCCTCAACTGATGGACACTCTCACCTCTGTTCTTGTAGTTCACTGATGTATCTATCCCCTAGGGCAGTGTTGGGCGTACAGCTGGCACTCATAAATGTTGTTGACTCACTGACTGAGGACCCACTGAGTAAGCCCTAAAAACTCTACTTCCTTCATAGGCTTTGCTGCCCCTGGCAACTTTCCTACCTTGAGTATTTCCCTTTTGGAGTACACTTAGAGTCAACTGTCCTCTCTCCTTAACTCCCTTATGAGCCCTAGACATTCTTTGATATGAAAAACTAATTTTTTTAGCAATCTTAGACACAGCAGAACTTTTCAAACATATTACAAGCCTAAGCCTTTCCAATACAAAATTTTATAGCCAGCAACCTTCAAAGAATCCAGAAATCAAGATCTCTCACCACCCACCAGCCTGTTCTGATTTTGGTTCTTCCTCCTCATCTAGGTGCATTGCTGCTCAGAAAGTATGATGAATTATGAGAGTGCTTATTCATGTATGTCTACCCCAACCAGGGACCACTGCGATAGGCTGTGCAGGCTGTGCCCCCCACAGCTCTGGGACGCCATCCACAAAGGCTGCACAGTTGCCCTGCATGACCCCTGCCCCAGCTGCAGGTATAGGGGAAGGACAATATCTAAGATTTTAAGAATGGAAGAAACTATTTAGGTCATAGTCAACCCTTGATTTCATAAGTGGAGACACTGTAGCTCAGCAAGATTAAGTGACTTTTCTAAAGTCATATATTTAGCAACAGAACACAGCCAGAATCTAGGTCTCCTGACCTCACGTCCACAGTATATTCTAAGTCAACTTTACCAGTCGGCCCTGTCCTGCTCCATCCACTTTATGGCAGGGCCCTATAGAAGTCTGCCCATCCCACCTCTTCTTTTTACTGGGGCTCTCATAAGAAGAGCCAAAGAGTGCTTGTTCTTTCTTGAAACTGTATCAGGAGACAGCCCATGTCCTGTGAGGTCTGCAAAGCAGGGCGAATATACTCCAGGGGGTATGCAAGATGATCCATCAAATGGGGGTAGAAAACTCTAGAAGTTTTCTTTCCTTTAAATTATTATCTCATTATTTTATTGTTGTCTGTTTTATGATGTTTATATAATTTTAATTCAGTAATATATGAACATAATTTACAAATAAATGTCAGTGGTGTGCATGAAAAATAATTGTAAGAATTTTTTATTTTTTGAGACAGACTTCCCCAGGCCAGAGTGCAGTGGCACAATTTCAGCTCACTGGAACTTCCCCTTCAAGGGTCCAGCAGCTCCTGTCTCAGCCTTCTGAGTAGCTGGGATGACACGCATACACCACCATGCCTGGCTAATTTTTGTGTTTTTACTAGAGACAGGGTTTCACCATGTTGGCCAGGCTGGTCTCGACCTCCTGACCTCACATGATCCGCCCGCCTTGGCCTCCCAAAGTGCTGGGATTACAGGCATGAGCCACTGCACCCAGCCTTTAAGAAATAATTTAATAGACATTTATGACTCCACCCTTGGAGAGTCTGATTTATCAAGTTAGGGCTGAGGTCCATGGTTTTTTTTTTTGTTTTTTTGTTTTTTTTTTTAAGGATTGGGTTTCACCATTTGCCCAGGCTGGTCTGGAATTCCCAGGCTCAAGCGATCCTCCTACCTCGGCCTCCCAAAGTATTTGGATGACAAGCGTGAGCCACTGCACCCAGCCTAGGAATTTCTTTTTTAATATCCAAAGTGATTCTGATGCACAATCAGATTTTGGAACGACTGCACTAAGGTCTTGAGCATTCTGACCTAGGTAAAGTTAAGATGTTGATAAAGTTGTATATACAGGTCTAAGGATAACTATTTACTTTAGGCTTAAGGAAGAATAAAGTAATTTAATTGGAAAAGCTACATATGACCCATGGTATCCAGTATAGACTCAGATGAATGCCTGAACTGCTGAGTATGGATCTCTCCTTTGTGATGCTCAAATTTAGTTGAGCAAACTCTTTTTTTCACATCTTTTTCTGACATTAAACTAATAAGATATGTTTCAGCTAAATCATAAATCTGCATCCTCCTAAAGTTTGCAGTTCAGACTTTATTTCCATGCTGTCTCATTGATTTTGTGACTGTGCTCTGAGCACTCTATGGGCTTTTGTTTAATTTGCATCCATTTCCTTCATATTGAGAAATATGAAAGTTCAATAGTTGGGCAGCTGTGGCAAGAATTCATTCTTGCCCGAGGTCTAGGGTAATAATTGCAATGCAAGATATTTCTGGTTATTACCCCTTAGGTTCAATATCTCAAACACAACTCCAAAATATAAACTACCTTAAAGTTAGGCTTTGGCCAGGTGCAGGGGCTCATACTATGGTTCCAGCTACTTGGGAGGTTGAGGCAGGAGGATCGCTTGAGTCCAACAGTTTGAGGCTGCAGTGAGCTATGGTCATGCCATTGCACTCCAGCCTGGGTAACAGAGTGAGACTCTGTCTCTACTAAAGAAAGAAAGAAAGTTAGGCTTTGTGAGCCCCAGTTTTTGTAAAGAGATACACTGTAAAAAGTATAGTCCAGAGGGTAAAGAGAAATAAAAAGGAACTGCAGTATCTTTCAAAATTATAAATACACATACCTTTTGACTTGCAATACTATTTCTAGAAATTCATATATATACTAAAATGGAAATACTTATATATACAAAAATAGCCCTTTCACAAGATACTGTTTATTACAATATTATTTGTAATCACAGGAAATTTGAGACAGGCGGGTTCCCCTCAGAAATTAAATAAGTGCTAATTTAGTAATACAAAGGAGTATTTGGTGGCAATAAAAAAAAAGAACAGTTTTAAAATACGATTTAGACAGCTCTTCAAAATACGTTATTAAGTGAAAAAGCAATGAACAGAATGGTATATGCTACCCTTTGTATTTTTAAAAAAGAAAAGAAAAAAAAAAAGAAAAACATGTACATACACAGCAACAAGGCCAGGTTTCTCCTTCCCTGCCCCTTCCCTGCTTGTGTGTCTCAGTTCTGCAAGTGCCTCCTCCCAGACCTCCTTGTCTGGGCTTCTTGTCTAGGCTTCTTCTGGGTGGCCCCTGTTTTCCAATAACCCTGTTTCTTCCTGTTACCCCATCTGATCAATGGAAGTAACAGCTTTCAGTTGTTGCTAATCTCTGAGGTTGGTATTATTATTGTCCATTGTCTCGTCTACTAAGTGAGGAAATTGAAGCACGGTGATGGAGCCAGGATGGAAGCCCACACGTTGTCACTCAAGCTTGAGCTTTTTTAACCATGGCACAATACCATTCACAGATACTAACACCCGAAACATACATATGAATATATGGTAGATGCTACATGCTTTAAGGGAGAATAAGACAAAAGACAGAGTTTCACTGGTGGAGATGGGTGGGAGGGTGGGAGGGTGATGTCCCAGAAAGGCCTAAGAAAGTTACATTTAAGCTGACACCCAAAGGAGGATGGTTGTTAGTGGGGCTGGGGTCTGGGAGACAAACATCTTTGGCCTGTGCAAAAGCTCTTGAGGACAGAAAGAGCTCAGTATGTCCAGAAGGGAGGCTGATGAGAGAGTATAGCTGGAGTAGAATCCAGCACAGGGGCAAGAGGAGGGCATGGGGTGAGCCTGGAAGGGCGATAGGGATCACTCAGGGCCAGGCCAGCCAGGTAAAAGAAATGAAGTCTTCTTAGAGCACCAGGGAGCCACAGGAGAGAAGTGATGTGATCTAATTCATATTTTACAAGGGTCACTCTGTCTGCAGCACGACAATGGGATTTGGGTTGGGAATGAGGAAAGAAGAATGGGCAATAGTGGAAGCAGGCCAGGCGCGTGGCTCACGCCTGTAGTCCCTGCACTTTGGGAGGCTGAAGCAGGTGGATCACCTGAGGTCGGGAGTTTGAGACCAGCCTGTCCAACATGGTTAAACACTATCTCTGCTAAAAATACAAAAATTACCTGGGTGTGGTGGCACATGCCTGTAATCCCAGCTACTCAGGAGGCTGAGGCAGGAAAATTGCTTGAACCTGGGAGACAGAGGTTACAGTGAGCCAAGATTGTGCCACTGCACTCCAGCCTGGGTGACAAAACGAGACCTTGTCTCAAAAAAAAAAAAAAAATAGTAGAAGCAGAGAAATTACCAGTTTATTGCAGTAGTTCTGGTGAGAGAGGATGGAGAGTTCAACCAAGATACTGCAGTGGGAGTGGGAAGAAGTGGTCAGATTTCAGGTATATTTCAGAGGAAAAATTAACAGGACTTGACAGCAGATTGGATGTGGCTGGTGAGCAAAGGAGAAGTGTCCAAAAGGGTTCCTGGCATTATGTGCTACCCAACAGACTCACTTAACCACCCAATACCCTTTCCGGATTAAGACCTTATAACAGGTCGGCCCATCCTCACCACAAGCAAAACCACAAACCCAGCATGGAGGGCTGGATTTTCTTTTAAACAGGAACAATACAAAGTACTACGCGAATATCACCACATAATGGAGTAAGTAGATTCTTACTGTTAATTACGACTTAATCATTACTTGTAATACGGCCTGGGGGCAAATGGATTTACAACCAACTTAGAAATGAGCCTATCAAACATAATCTATTTATAAGTCAGAATTAACTTGATAAAGAAAAATATATATGTTTTCCATCTAATTTGTGTTTTCCAGGCCTGTCAGAGAGTTTTCCATGCCAAGAGGAGCCAACACTTTTTGCTACTGTGTTAAGGCAAATGTGATTGTCACTGGAGGTGAGAGGGCGGTTCACATTACATAGGGGTTTTCTACTTTGCAAACATCGTTCTCTTCGAGTTTTGGTGCTAGGAAGAACACATTAGGGAATTTACAAATTTGTATCAAGTCAAATCTGTTTGTCTTTTTCTTTCTGGCGTCTGGATTTGATAACATACTTAGAAAAGCCTTCTTCAGCCCAAGAGTGTGTGAGAGAAATTTTCCTGTATTTTACTAGAATTTGTTCTTACTGTTTTGTTTTCTGTTTTACCTTTAGAGCTTTAATCCATCTGGAGCTTATTTTATGTGTGAGAGCATGAGTTCCTAGGTCTCCCAGGAGACCTGGAGCCCCCGGCACTTATGTGTGTGCGTGTGCCTTTTTCTGGAGAAAAATTTCAAAATTTCATCAAATCCTCCAGAGGAGATCATGACCAAAAAGGTCAAGAGCCAATGGTTTAGAGTTAACAGATGAGAAGACCAGGAAGACAATCTTGAAGAATACCAACATTTAAGGGATAGGTTAGGTAGAAAATAACAAAAAAGGTTATCTGCTAAGAGGAAGGAAAAAGGTAACACAATAAGTTTTGTCGGGGGAAGGTAGGGGACTGAAATGATCTTTGAGACTCAGACTCCTTATTTATAATACTGGGGTTTTAATATCCATAGGATGGCCTTGAGCCTGGGCCCTGGAGTCAGACTGTATGGGTACAACTCCTGGCTCTCTCACTTGCGAGCTGTGTGGTGGGCAGGCTATTCATTCCTTTAAGCTCCAATCTCATTTGTAAGTGGAGTTGATAATAGTACCTACCCATAATGTTATTATAGGAATTAAACTGACTGGGCTCCATGGTTTACACCTGTAATCTCAGCACTTTGGGAGGCCGAGGCAGGAGGATTGCTTGAGCCTAGGAGTTCAAGACTGCCCTAGGCAACATGAAAAGACTGCTAGTCTCAGCTACTCAAGAGGCTGAGGCAGAGGATCACGTGAGCCCAGGAGGTTGAGGCTGCAGTGAGCCATGTTTGTGCTACTGCACTCCAGCCTAGGCAACAGCAAGAGCCTGTCTCAAAACAACAACAACAACAATAGCAACAAAACTAAACTAATTCAAAGTCCTCAATACAAATTTGTTATTAATAATACAAACAATAAGAAAATAACACCTGGACAGGCGCAGTGGCTCGCACCAATAATCCCGGCACTTTGGGAGGCTGAGACAGGAGGATCGCTTGAGCCCAGGAGCTCAAGACTAGCCTGGGCAATACAGTAAGACCTTGTCTCTACAAAAAAAAAAAATTAAAAATTAGCTGAGCATTTGGTGTGTACCTGTAGCCCTAGCTACTAGAGAGGCTGAGGTGTGAGTATTGCTGGAACCCAGGATGTTGAGGCTGCAGTGAGCCGTGACTGTGCCACTGCACTCCATCCTGGATGACAGAGCAAGACCCTGTCTCAAAAAGAAAGGACGAAGGAAGGAAGGAAGGGAGGGAGGGAGGGAGGGACAGAGGGAGGGAGGAAGGGAAGGAAAGGAAGGAAGGAAGGGAGGGAGGGAGGAAGGGAAGGAAGGGAAGGAAGGAAGGGAAGGAAAGAAAGGAAGGAAAGGAAGGAAGGAAAGAAAGGAAGGGAAAGAAAGAAGGAACGGAAAGAAAAAAGAAAGAAAGAAAGAGAAAAAGCAAGGAAGGGAGGGAGGGAGGGAGGGAGGAAGGATGCCTACTTCATAGGATGGTGTTTGAGATTGATTGAGATAATTTATGCTTGGTGCATAATAGGTTCTCAATAAATATTAATCCTCTCTGTTTAAACACATTGGCAAAATCACTTTGGCAAAGGTGGAGGTTTTGTTGGGATAAAATGAAATTTGCGATTCTAGTTAGGAGACTGTTAGAGAAGACATGAGTCAGATGGAGAGGGTCTGAATTACTGTAGGTGCTATTATTTAAAAAAAGAAAGACTCGACCTCAAAGACATGGGAAATTAATTATTCATAAGACTTGGAGATGCAATGCTTTTGGGGATTAGTAAGAGAAATCAACCAGCTCCACGTTTGTATGGTGGGAGAAATGAAAGAGTAGCAATTGTGTTGATAGTTGTACAGAAATTAGGAAGTGGGTGCTTACCTGGGGAAGAAGAACAAAAGAAAGCTCAATTGTGAACTTAAATGTCAAGTGTTGATTGGACATTCAAGAGAAGATTCCTTTTGGTGACAGGAAAAGATCTGGTTGGAGATGAATGATGTCAGGGCTCCCTAGGCTACCTGGATCTGGGAGAAGATGAGCTCCCAGAGGTTCCTCAAGGAGGCCAGGGTGGCCTTGTAAAAGACAGAAGGCATGTAGGCTTGCAAGACTTAAATGAGCAAAACAGAAACACAAACAAACATCAAGAAAGTGGCCTACATTGCAAACCCAAACTTTAAAAAGGGAAGAAACAATAAATATTTTTTTAAAAAAGAAGAAAACTCTGTCATCAAGAAAAAAATCAATAAATACATCATTGGCAAAAGAGTTTACAGCAAAAATATCTATTAAAGGAGCCATGATGTTTAATGAGTAAGTGCTATTGGCTCTGTCTATCATAAGATTTTTTCAAATTTCTCACTCTCAAACATACACAGCAGGCGGTTTGGTTTCCTATCTAAAGTGTCCTGCCTAATCCCTGAAGTGCCTATATTGCTAAATATAAAGACAGCTGAGCTCCTATTTCATGGCTGGGGAATCTCCCCTAAGGGCATAAAGTTAATTTTTTTTTCAAGTACACTGTGCATTCAAAATTTATATTTAAATCTATGCTCAGCTCTGGGCCTTCTATAACACTAAACTGAAATTAGCTTATGGTTCCAACAGTATTACAAAGATAATATAGTAGCCTATTGGCAAGCACAACAAATAAAAACAATGCACTAGAAGTTAGAATAGCTGGGTTTAGCCATCGCCTGGCCAATCACCAACTCTGATTTTTCAGCAATCACTTAATTGCTCCCTTTTGCTCATTTTCCTTATCTGGTGAAAATGAGGAAGTGGGACTAAATACATTTCAAGATCCCTCTGAGCCTAAAATACTGTGATTCTATTTTTTAAAGAACTGCCTGTTCACAGGGAGATAAACTAAAAATGTCCTTTGGAAAATTTGGAACCCAGTTTGCCAATTAGATGCTACTCAATATATAATTACAGCTTTGTGCACTCAGAAATACCAAAACATTAATTGTCCACAAACCTCTAAGACTCAAGTGAGGACATGAAGAAAAGAAAGGAAGGCATATGGATAAGAAGTCTGTAAAGAAGTGTGTGGGAGTCATGGCTTGGGTAGGGAGCAAGTTTCTTGATACTTGGTAGTGATGATTCTAAGAAAAACAGGAATCCAAGTCTCTCAACCAAACTAATTACAGTTATTTAAAGATCTCCATACTGAAGTCTAGAAGACATCAAGAAACAAATGCTAGAATCAGAAAAAGAAGTGGGATACTTTCAGAAAAAGACGTGGGTTACTTATATCCCAACTGCTTGATCCCCATTGCTCCTTCCTGAGTTAATGACTGTCTTGGCTTATTACTTCCAACGGAAATGGGCACAGTTTTTGGTTTGGATCACACATCAGAAGGAGGATGCAAGAGATGAGGGAGGGAGAGCCCCTTGGTGTGAGAGATAAAGCAGCAAACATGTTTGAGAATCAAACTGCAATGAATCCTCCTGTCGCCGTTGCATGTCTTTAGTTAGGCAAAAATATTAGCCCTCTTCCTCTTTCAATGCAAACCCTGCACATGAAACCCTTTGAAAAAGCAGTACGTAAATATATGGCTAATGTGAAATTTGATTCTAAAATCTGATTGTCACATTATGCTGTCACATTAATCTTAACCAACTCCTCTTCACAGCTCTTTGCCCTCACACACAAAAGAATACAAAATGTTAAGAACTGACCAGTTTTTATAGGCTTTGTAATCTTAGTATTTTAATCATTTCTGGGGGAAAAATGTGTTTGGTAAAGTTTTAGGACTTAAACCACTTCAGTGTTTTTGGATTAAGTCATTTGACTCTCATTAACCTCAGTGTTCATTATATTATAAGACCCTCATCTACAGCTTGAAAACGTGTTTATTATAGGTTTTCTAGCTCTCTCACCAAGGGAAGAAAACACTTAGTAGTATGACCGACAAGCAACTAATACTTTTCATCATGCATAATTTATTGAATTGTCACAGTTATGGAGCCTCTATTAGTAGAAAATGCAAATTCCCAGTAACTGAAAACACATTTTTCTCAGGAGAGTACTCTTGTTGATTAGTGACTCAGCCAAGCACCATTGCTAAATGTACGGTATGTACCCGCTGACGACTCAAAATATACAATAAAAGCAGCTTTGCTAGGCATAGCTGAATGTGTTAAATGTGCAGGGACATTTGATGAGCTTCAAAAAAGCACAAGCTTTTGCAGGAAAAAAAAAAAAGCCAAACCAGGACAGAGTGTTTACCAAGAAAACCTAAAAATTTCCTGAGCATTATTTTGGTGACCATCAAGAATATTTTTGCTGAACAGTGTTTGCACTAGCCTTTTAGGAATTAAGTTCTTAGTATGGAAGATTCAGAGTAGGAACACAATTACCTCCCAAAAAGATATTTTGGGGGCTCTGCATGCATTTTTTTCATGTTTTGTTCAACAAATATTTTCTGCACAATTGCTATAGACTAGGCTATTAACCTTATAAAGGTCAGGTTGTATTCCTAACCTGCGAACATTTAAAGCCTAATAGTGTAAGACAAGTTTATAGGTAACTACAAAGTATAGCATGAATCAACATATGATGATGATGATGATGATGATGATGGCGATGGTGATAATAATACAGATGAAATAGTATAGGCTTTGAGAGCTTCGCATCTGTCCCTTTCTGCTAATTCTGCCTCCACAAAGCCACCACATATGATTCCATTCCAAGCAACGAAAGCAAGCAGAGCTGGAGGACATCTGTGGAGTAGGCAATAGGGAACCTCCAAAAGATTGGATTTTCTTCACAACGAATAACGGACAAAGCCATTAGTTTAAGAGGCCTAGATATTTCTCAGGTGGCAGATCTCTATTGCATTCTTCTTCGTGTGATATACAAGTCATAGATTTTCTTCTGGGGATATAGCCTATTGCCAGCCTCATCATCCAGGAATGATAATGCCCATTTCAGGGGATGTCCCACCAACATGATGTAAGATCACCTATGGGTGCAAGGCTTAGGTTCTGAACATGTCTGAATAGCATGACACATCTTGACAATTCCCAATGAAAAGCAAATGCAGTCAAGATACTGCATTATTGGAATTAGTCAGTTTGAATCATGTAACTGAATATCTGGTGAGTTTCTTACTACCTATGAAAATTCCAGATTGCCCTCTGCTTTCACTGTAGTGATGTCTCCCTCCGGAGCACATAATCATGAAATTTTAGAGCTGGATGGAGCCTTGAAGATTATAATTTTACATGAGGAAATCGAGACCCCAGACAAGTCGCACAACTAGTTAGCTGGCAGAGCTGAGACTGAATCAGTTCTCTTTGCACCCACTCAGCCCTGTGTTCTTCCTGGACCACAGAAATCTGGTTTACTAGATGCTATCTCTCTCCTGCTTTTTTGTGTGAACTAAGCCCGCTCATCTCATCAAGAGTGATGCACTTAGATGAAGTGACTCACCCAACTGAGAGAAGAATCTGCTAAAGGAAAGAAAATCCTCTCTTTGATATGTGACTTTTATCTAAATTCTGGCTTCACACACGCAGAAAAGAAAAAAAAAAGAAAGAAAAAATAGAAAGCAACAAAAAAACAGGGAATTAACTCTTTATGAGCCATAATATTTATAGTATAAAGACCTATCTTCAGATTTGACATACTCTTTACAAATAGTTGTTTACCCTCTATATCTCCTTACCTTATTGCTACTACTAGATTGTGAACTCTCAAGAGCAGGGATCATATTTCATATATCTGTGTATCAGTTCCTCTCCCCTAAATATAATCTAAATGCATTGTAGGAACTTAGAATAATAGTAATAGTAATTGTTAGTTTACGGTCCAGAAACTGTTCAGTTACACATTTACAACTCCACTCAATCTTCACAATAAAACTATGATGTTAACTTCCATTTATCCTCATTTTATAGGTAAGAAAACTCAGATGCAGAGAGGCAAAGCAACTTACTCAAAGTCATAAAGCTAGTTAAGGGGTAGAGCCAGGTTTCAAATCAAATATGATTCGCTCAAAATACGTGTCCTTAACCACTTCATGAGTGACTCTACAAGCCAACTCATTTACTTAGCAAACATGTATTAAGCACTTACTACTTGCCAAACACTGCTATCAATGAGAACTACTAGGCTCACCAGATAATGGGTAAACAGATAGGTAAACAGACAATTATGAGTGCTGTAAAAGAAAGCTGAAGAAAGCACAGTAAAAACACAGAAGAAGGAGTCTGAACTCCGTTTAGGGCAGAGGAAGGTGATTAGGGAAGGCGCTGCGGAGAGTAATAACCAAACTAAGTCTAAAAGGGTGTAAACCTGGGTCTTCTGAAAAAGTAGACCTTGGGCAGGAACAATATCTAGAATTTCTTTGTATCCTTCACATCTTGCAAAATACTAAGGGCACAAAGGTATCAGAAGAGAAGGGGGAGCATAGATTTAAAAAAATTTCTAAGTGCACAGTTAGCTTCTCAAGAGATTTTTCTCTCTTGCTGTTAATAAGGGCAGCATGAAAGTTTGAAATTTAAGAAAATATTCCATTTCCTCATTAACCACAACCCCTCCAATATCTTGTTTGATGTTTTAGCCAACTTGAGCTGCCTTAACAAAATACCATAAGCAGAAAGGTTTAAGCAACAGAAATTTTCTGGAGGCTAGAAGTGCAGGATCAAGGTGCCAGCATTGTCAGTTTCTGGCGAGAGCTCTCTTCCTGGCTTGTAGACATCTGCCTTCTCTCCATGTTCTCAAATGGCAGGGAGAGAGAGGGGAGAGAGGGTGGGTTGGGGCAGCAGGAGCTGGTGTCTCTTCTAATAAGGACATTAATCCCATCATGAGGGCCCGCCTTCATTACCTCATTGGAACCTAATTATCTCCCAAAGGCCCCCCATTTCCAAACACCATCGTGTTGGGGCTAGGGCTTCAATATATAAATTTGGGAGGGAATGAATTCACTCAATTGCAATTCTTAAGAAATGGAAACCATCAGCTATGCAATGAGTTTTTTTCAGCCTGCCTTTAATAACACTCCAAGAAGTGAGAGCCTCTGAAATGAACAAATGACCTTCCAAAAAAATTAGATGAACATTCAATGAAGATCCATTTTTTTGTTTGAATACATGTTTTTCCCCTCTTTGGGGACTTGATAGTTAAACCTCTGAGCTGTGATTCATCATCCCAACAATGAAGTTATTGAAGTGGTTCAAAAAATATCTTTTGAATTCTTACTATAGATTATATGTGACAGTAAACAACAACAAGTCCTGTCCTCAAGGCACCTGGAGTCTAATAGTGGTCCAGACAAATAATTAACTATGAAGGATGATGGGGATGAAGGAGGCACATAGGTAGGGCACTCAGGTTTGAAGAATATGGAAGTATTCTGGAATATTACTGGAGGAAAAGCTATGCTGAGACTTGATGGATGGATTGGGATACTCGAAGAAGAGAAAAAAGGTAGAGAAAAATACTATGCTTTTTCATGAGGCCCAATAAAATAATCATAGAATTATGGAAGCATCTATCAAATTTGCCTGGTTTATAAATACCCAACTAACAAGTCACCTAATTATCCCTCCATACCTGACATGCCCTTTCAGTGTGGATAATCTATCAAAATAAAAATCCAATATACATCAGGAAATACATCCTAATGGGTGGCCCAATATATAATATCAGATTAACTAGAATTACTATTTTGGGTTTTAAAAATTTATTTATTTTCTTTTTTTCCTTCAAATTTATTTTAAGTTCCAGGGTACATGTGAAGGATGTGCAGGTTTGTTACATAGGTAAACATGTGCCATGGTGGTTTGCTGTACAGATCAACCTATCACCTGGATATTAAGTCCAGCATCCATTAGCTATTCTTCCTGATCCTCTCTCTTCCTCACCACCCAGTGAATGTGAGTTGTTCCCCACCGTGAGTCCATGTGTCCATTCTCAAGGTTCAGCTCCCACTTATAAGTGAGAACATACAGTGTTTGGTTTTCTGTTCCTGTGTTAGTTTGCTGAGGATAACGGCTTCCAGCTCCATCCACATCCTTGCAAAGGACATGATCTTGTTCCTTTTTATGGCTGCACAGTATTTCATGGTGTATATGTACCATATTTTCTTTATCCCATCTATCATCGATGGGTGTTTGGGTTGATTCCATGTCTTTGCTATTGTGAATAGTGTTGCAATTAAGATACGCAGCCATGTATCTTTATAATAGAATGATTTGTATTCCTTTGGGTATATACCCAGTAATGGGATTGCTGGGTCAAATGGTATTTCTGTCCCTAGATATTTGAGGAATCGCTACACTGCCTTCCACAGTGGTTGAACTAATTTACACTCCCACCAACACTGTAAAAGCATTTCTTTTTCTCCGCAACTTTGCCAGCATCTCTTGTTTCTGGACTTTTTAATAATCACCATTCTCACTGGCATGAGATGGTATCTCATTGTGGTTTTGATTTGCATTTCTCCAATGACCAACGATGTTGAGTTTTTTTAATATGTTTTTTGGCCGCATAAATGTCTTCTTTTCAGGAGTATCTGTTCATGTCTTTTGTTCACTTTTTAATGGGGTAGTTTTTGTTCTAGTAAATTTGTTTAAGTTCCTATAGACTCTGGATATTAGATGTTAGTCAGATGGATAGATTGCAAAAATTTTCTCCCATTCTGTAGGTTGTCTGTCCACTCTGATGATAGTTTCTTTTGCTGTGCAGAAGCTCCTTAATTAGATCCCATTTGTCAATTTTTGCTTTTGTTGCCATTGCCTTTGGTGTTTTTGTCATGAAGTCTTTGCCCATGCCTATGTCCTGAATGGTATTGCCTAGATTTTCTTCTAGGTCTTTTATGGTTTTGGGGTTTACATTCAAGTCTTTAAACCATCTTGAGTTAATTTTTGTATAAGGTGTAAGAAAAGAGACCAATTTCAGTTTTCTGCATGTGGCTAGCCAGTTCTCCCAGCACCATTTATTAAATAGGGAATCCTTTCCCCATTGCTTGTTTTGGTCAGGTTTGTTGACAATCAGCTGGTTGTAGATGTGTGGTTTTATTTCTGAGATCTCTATTATGTTCCATTGGTCTATGTGTCTCTTTTCGTACCAGTACCATGCTGTTTTGGTCACAGGAGCTTTGTAGTATAGTTTGAAGTGGGATAGTGTGATGCCGTCAGCTTCGTTCTTTTTGCTTAGGACTGTCTTTGCTGTTCAGGCTCTTTTTTGGTTCCACTTAAATTTTAAAATAGTTTCTTCTAATTCTGTGAAGAATGTAAAATGACTATTTTGAATTTTAGGCTTTTTATATGTAAATTATGACTGTTAATAATTTAGGTTATACATAAATTATAACTTAGGTTATAACGCCTTTATACAGCCTTTTTGTCTAGTAGCCTAAAGGTCCTTGGTAATATGTAAGGTGCTTAGGCATGCTTTGTTGTATTACTAACTCAATTCCATTTTCTCAGATGTACAAATCACATTTAAATAATTAAATTAAATCATTCAATTAAAATTACTTAATCTTTGGGAGTTAGTTTCTTTCTTTTGTGAGATAAGAAAGTTGGATTATGCAACTTCTAGGATCCCAGTTTGAAGTTCTTTGATGTTTTTATGACTCAGTTTCCAGGATGACATTTAAAGAACTATTTGTGAAATATAAAATTTAATATCTTAAAAATATTCTATGTTTTGTAAATGATTACAGTTTTTATTCTTTTTGGAAACATAATTAGATTACAGCTGCACATTTGTTTAAGTAATGCTGGCTACTGTAAAAAATAACTCCCAAAATGTGAATGGGTCAGACACAATGAAAATGTAAAGTTTAAAATCAGCTCTCAGAATTCACTGGCGAAAACTCAGTAATCTGACCACGCCTAACTGCAAAGGAGCCTGGAAATGTGTATCCAGGAAGAGAGGATATGGTTTTGGTGAAAATGCAGCCAGTTTTTTCATAAAACTGTGTGTGTGTGTGTGTGTACATATGATAATACATTCTTGGTTCAACTTTTATTTTCAGTGCTGTCAAAATTCCAATAGATCATGGCTAAAGGATATAGTCAAAAAATTTACAGACGAAGAAGATACAATTAGCAGATATATTTGGGAAAAAATACCCAACGGCATTAGCTATCATAAAATGTAATTAAAAATAAGGTATCATTTAGAACTATTAACATAGCAAACATTTTAAATCATGACAATATTCATGTGCTGGCCAGAATTTAATGAAACTGACAGAATATATCATTGATGGCCTTGGGATTTAGTACAGCCATTTTGGAAAGTAAGCTAGCAATATGTTTAAAAGTGATAAAAATGTATATAGCCTGTAACATAATGATACCACACTTGGGACTTTATCCACAGTAAATAATCCAAAAGGAAAAAAAGACCACAGAAGTACAATAACCATTCGTTGCAGTATTGCTGAATAAAGTAAAAAACTAGAATTAGTGGACTAATCAATGGACAAGGGGTTAAGAAATTCTGAAATAGTAACTAAAAGGATAATTATGCGGGCATGAGCTCGTGGCCTTTCCTAAATAAAAAAAAGTAGTGGGTATAAATATGTATCTAGAAATATATCTAATTTATATTTTTAAAAAGTTAACAGTGATTTCCCACAGGGAGTTAGAGATTATGGAGGAAAAGACATTTTTATAAAAATTATGCCCTTCTATGATTTTTAGCAATTAAAAAACCATATTTATTCTATGGTAGTAACTACACATAAATTATATATGCCTATGAATACATGCTAGAAGGGAAGACGGAAAAATGACAACAGTTGATTTGTTATAATGGTGAAGATTAAGTGCAGTTTCCTCTGTCCTTGATTTCTTTCATTATTATAATGTTTGCATAATTTAAGAATGAAAACAAAAGAACAGCTGCCTTAAATATCTTTGGAAGTAAATAAAGTATAAATAATACATTAATGCATCAAAGTATAGGAAAGGATTGAGTCAAGAAAAGAACTCATAAAATATTTATGAGAATTCACATTTGTGTATGTAAATACAGTCTTTACAAAACAGCCTTCACAAGAAGCAGCAGATCCAAACCAAGGCCAGCCCCTTAGCACATCAATCACAGAATAATGCATCCTGCCAGAAACGGACTGTGATTTGCTGTTCGAAGAAAGATACGGGTATGATACAGTGAGAGATACATTTGAAACTCTGACCACCTCAGAAAACCAACAATCTTTCCCTGTCCTCCTTTTCAGGAGATGATAAGGTCATCCGGTTGTGGCACCCCAATATCAGCACCAAGCCAGTAGGGAAACTTGTAGGACACATGTTCAGTATCGCCGAGATCGTAACCAATGAAAAAGATCAACATGTCGTCAGCCTTTCCTCTGCAAAGGTAACAAAAAGAAAATAACAAAACAAAACTAGTTTTTTCCGGAAAATTATCTGTTGGAAGGCATAGGGATGATACAATTTTTGACTGAAATAAATGATAGTCATTGAATCATTGAGAAAAATATTGTCAGTATGGAAAAGGAAATGATAAGCCAATGTTCTCTCTTTCTATTGATTATAGCATAAGTAAGAACACGTTTAAAAACAAGTGTAAAAGAAAAACAATATTGAAAAGATGGCAAATTTTACCCTCAAAAGTAAAACATAAGGGGCCTTTCAATAGATAGGAACATTAGGAAAAAAATGAGGATTTCTGTTATTAAACAGTGTTTGAAACATTCTAACCAATGTAATAAAACAAAAAAAAAGTTATAAATATTAGAATTCAGAGACTGAATTATATTTGCAAATAATGGGATTACCTGCTTGAAAAGAGATCAATACAATCAACTTTCAGTGTAGGAATAGATAAATTCCATAAGGTGGCTAGTTGCAATGGCAACCTAAAAATAAGATAAAATAAAAATTTCTAAAAAATAAATAAGGAAATAAATAAATAAATGTCTATATAAGAACAATAATTAGTGAGGAAAAAAGGTCAAAGAGATAGCATTCACAAGAGTAAAAAATATGCAATATTAGGAATAAACTTAACAGGCAATATTCACTACTAACATTAAGATAACTATGAAGTTTTACTGTGTTTAAGAACACAAATTAAGGGACATACTATGTTCCTACATGGAAATATTGTGCTGTAAGATATTCTCCATCAGTTTAATATATTTATTTATTGCTAGTCAGAATTACTTAAGTGTCAGCTTGCCAAGTTTAAAGTTAATGTAAAAATACTGGTATATAGGAATATCCTAGAAACTTTGGAAGATATAATTATGAGATGGCACTTTCCCTGTCCAATATTAAAGCATATCATAAAGCCAAAATAAATAAAACAGAGCAATAGTCAATGCAGAAATAATCACATCTATGAAGCAAAGGAGAAAATGCAGGAATTAGTTTATGTCTATGTGGGAATTTTGTATAGGACAGAAATAATGTTTCAAATATGTGAGCAAAGGATGGTTTGTTCAATAAGTGTTGGGAAAACTGATTAGCCATAAAGAAAGAAAGATGTAATCAGATCATGATTTCATAATATACAGCACAATACATTACATATGAATTAAAGATTTTAAATTTAAAATACAAAACCATAGAAATTCTAGATTTCCAGAAGAAAATATAGGTGAATAGTCTTATAACTTTTGGGTAATTCCTAAGCATAGCACCTATGACTAAGGAGAAAGTAAATATGACTAAATAAACATTCAAACTTTCTGTAAATTATAATAACTACCATTTATTGAGTGCTTAAGTGCCAGGCGCTGTGCTAAGTATTTTACATATGCAACTCATTGATGCTAATAACAACCCTATAAAGTAATTCTCCCCATTTTACACACGTCAGGGAAAATGACATCTAAATCACTTACACAAGGTCACAGAGCTATCTAGTGCCGAAGTGTGGTCAATCCCATATTTGCCCTTCCTCAGCCTGCCTCCCTATACTCATAAACAAAGTTAAAGGCAGACAGCAGGGGCAGGGGGCAAAAATGCAATAAAAAGCAGAGAAATTGGAAAAATATCCTTGAACAAATACCAAAAATCTTTAGCAAGTCAGTAGGGGAAAGAAAGTGGAGTGAAGGGCAAAGGTTTAAGAACACAGACAGGTTTACATACTGCTGGGTGGAAATAAAACTGGCAAAAACTTCCTGCGTATTTGTTCTAATAAAATAGCTAGATGAGTGTGCAAAGATCTGTATTAAAGGATGCTCAATGCACTATTGCTTATATTGATTTAAGAAGGAAAAAAGAAAAACAAGAAAATAGGGAGGAAACAGGAAATACAGAAAGGAAATGAAAGAGGGAAGGGAAGGGAAAGAAAAAAACCCGGTTGCTTTCCCTCCACGTCCCCCAGCCCCGCACCTCCCTCCTCGTACACCCCCTACCCCTCATACACCCTCTACCCGATGCAAAACCCTTCGATGGAAGCAATCGGGATCTCCAAGGCCCAGTCGTTCCCTCCATGCTCACGGAACTATGCGAATCTCCCTGGAGCCCATGCTTGCCATGTGCAACCACAAGGGAAAGACTCTAAGGACCTTTGAGGGGTTCCTCCCAGGCTAGAGAGGAAAATGCACCCGGCACCTGCCTCCTCCAGTTCACAACTGAGGACGTGACCTGACCTGCAGGATTCCCCAGCAGGCCAGCAGCCCTCACCTGCCAATATGGTAGCCACAAATTTTTAAAACATGGCTAGTCCGAATTGAGGTCCGCTGTGAGTGTAAAATACACAAGACTCCAAAGATTCACTATCCCCCCACTCCAAAAAAAAAACTCTCAATTTTTTGAGACAGGATCTTGCTCTGTCGTCCGGGCTAGAGTACAATGGCATGGTGCAATGGGGCTCATTGCAGCCTCGGGGCTCTCTGCTGTCTTGACCTACTGGGCTCGAGGGATCCTCCCACCTCAGCCTCCCCAGTAGCTGGGACTACAGGTGGGGGCCACCGTACGAAGCTAATTATTTTTATTTTTTGTAGAGAGCTCTCTTTTTTTTTTTTTAGGTCTGTCTAATTTGCTAATTTTTAAATTTTTGGTAGAGATGGGGTCTTGCTATGTTGCCCGAACTTCTGGGCTCAAGTGAGCCTCCTGCCTCAAAGCACTAGTATAGGCCTGAGCCATGGCACTGGGCCAATCGTTTTTATATTGATTATATATTGAGGTGATAATAATTTGGCTATATAGGGTTAAAAAATACATTAATAAAATTAATTTTTAAAAAAAGAGCAAGGGACTGCATGTAGTGGCTCATGCTTGTAATCCTGGCACTTTGGGAGGTCAAGGTGGGAGGATCGCTTGAGCCCAGGAGTTCAAGACCAGCCTGGGCAACATAGTGAGACACCATCTTTAAAAAAAGAGATTATGATAATGGTTGCACAACTATTTAAATTGACTAAAACTCACAGAACCTTACACTAAAAGCGGGTGAGTTTTAAGGTAAGTAGATTACACTTCAATATTGCAGTTGAAAAAGAGAGATAATTAGGGTGATGTACCAATAAAGTAAAATTCAAGAGGAAAAAAAGGCTTTGATTAAGTAAATTATGCTGTATCCTCATATACAATAGAAATATCACATAGACATTCAACATTATGTAAATGAATAGTCATATGAAAATATCTAAATAATATATAAAATACAATAATATGTAAGTAATCAATTTTAAATCAATTTTAAAACATAACGTGTCTATCATATGTTATTGGAAATGATTAATAGCAAGATGTTTTAGTGAGGCTAACAAGATTGTGGATATACATGGATGGATTTTTTTCTTTTGTTTTCTCTTTGTTTTTTTAAATAGTAAATATACATTACTTTGTAATAAGGACAAAGTTTTTTTTTTTGAGACGAAGTTTCATTCTTGTTGTCCAGGCTGGAGTGCAATGGCACCATCTCAGCTCACTGCAACCTCTGCCTCCCAGGTTCAAGCTATTCTCCTGCCTCAGCCTCCCAAGTAGCTGGGATTACAGGCTCCTGCCACCATGCCCAGCTCATTTTTGTATTTTTAGTAGAGACAGGGTTTCGTCATGTTGTCCAGGCTGGTCTTGAACTCCTGACCTCAGGTTATCCACCTGCCTCAGCCTCCCAAAGTGCTGGGATTACAGGTGTGAGCCACCGTGCCCAGCTTAGGAAATTTTAATTTTTTTAAGTAGTACTGGAAAGACAGTGAAGGTTTTGAGACACTAAAACTAAAAACATGTTACGATTGAGACCTGGAGTCTCCTACAGATAATTTAAAGAGAAATAAGATATCTTTCTAGCAAAAGTTGAGATCATTCATGCTCAGAGATGAAGAGACAGAAGAGAGAATCTTTCCTATTTCTTTTAAATGTAATGAGTGTATTAAGATGATACTCATTCATGCATCTCAGTAGCACCACTTGGGAAAATTACTTAATATCTTTCCATTTGGTTTCTTCATCTGTAAATGTAGGAATGTTTAGCCCAGAGGGCCATTATAAAGATGAAAGGAGGTCATTCATTTGGTTATTTAACAAATACTTATTTATTTATTGAGTGTCTATTGTGTTAGATACTGTTCTGAGTTCTGAGTTCTAGGGACAAAGCATTGAACAAGGAGGACCAGGGCCCTGCAATGAGAAAGTTGACATGCTAGGGGAAGAGACAGACAAACAAGCAAAGTAACAAGTACATAAGAAAACAGTATGATAAGTATGGTAAGAAATAGGAAACACAGGGCTGGGTGTAATGGCTCAAACCTGTAATCCCAGCACTTTGGGAGGTTGAGCCAGGAGGATTGCTTGAGGCCAGGAGTTCAAAACCAGCCTAGGCAAAATAGCAAGACCCCATCTCTACAAAAACAAAGAAAAAGAAGAAGAAAAGAAATAGAAAACATAGTGGTGCAGTGTGATTGAATCTCACCTCTGAGGAGGTGACATAAAAGCTGAAGCCTGAATGATCAGGGGAACCAGCCCCGTGAAGATCTAGGAAAAGGAAAAGGGCAATTTAGGCAGAAAGAAGAGCAAACTGGGCTGGGTGCCGCAGTTCATGCCTGTAATCCCAGCACTTTGGGAGGCTGAGGTGGGTGGATTATTTGAGGTTAGGAGTTCGAGATCAGCCTGGCCAACATGGTGGAACCCTGTCACTACTAAAACTACAAAAATTAGCCTGGCATGGTGGTAGGCACCTGTAACCCCAGCTACTTGGGAGGCTGAGGCAGGAGAATCGCTTGAACCTGGGAGGTGGAGGTTGCAGAGAGCCGAGATTGCACCACTGCACTCCAGCCTGGGCAATAGAGCGAGACTCAGTCTCAGAAAAGAAGAAGAAGAAAAAAAAAGCAAACTAGGCACATACATGTTTTTGGTTTTTTTATTGAAGCTATATTATTATTTACAGAAAAGGGAACAGACAACATCCCTTCAAACTCTTTCATATAAATTAGCTTTCATCACATTAAGCAGAAAGCATATAAATCGCCATGCATAGTTGTGTGCCCACTACATGCCTTTTCCTAAGCTCTTAAAATAGCAAGATTTTTATTCTTTCTCCTAATTTTGCAGTCTTTCCACCAGGATATTACTTTCTTCCCCAACTGCTAAAATTGTATGTCTAGTCACAGAGCCCAAGTATTGAACAGATGTGCCACATCTATTACACCTGAAGAAGAACTGACGAATGTTGAAAAATGCAGAGACAAATATAATCTTCACTTACTTTCATTTCATCAGCAAAACCAATGGGAGCAATGGTTGGAAACCTTCTCAAGCACAGTTCTATTGACCAAAAGGCTGATTCTCTTCTTCTTTTTTTTTTTCTATGAAGGGGAGAAATTTACATACTTTGATGATTTATAACAGATTACAAATGTATGTAAAAGTTGCTAATTTTCGTACATTTTCACTTTGGAAGTGGTATGTAGAAACCTGAGAAAAGGCAGTTTGACTAGATTGTGAGTGTGCATATCTTCAAAGGCAGTTATCTTTAAAAAAAATTCTGCCTACCTAAAACTGAATTTATTTTCTACTTCAAGTCTTCTCTTCCTTACTTCTGATTTTCCTCTAACTGTTAATGGTATCATTTGTTTCCCAGAGAGCCATAATCCAACTTCAAAGTCACCTTTGATCCTTCTATCTCTGTAAGCCTTGCCACTGGTCAGTTTGAAGTCTCTGAAATGTGTCTCCTGTAAATTACCTCATTCTTCTTCCCAGAGTCATGGCCTTAGTTCAGACCCATCCACCAAGGGGCTCCCAGTTGCAGGTGGCCCATTAGAAAGCACTTGTAGACCTCTTATCTTCAGTTTCTTCTCTCCCCAAACCATCCAGATATTGTACTGCCATGTTGATCCTCCTCCAACCCATTTATAACCTTGTCATTGCCTTCTCACATATATTCAAAGGCCCCTCATGCCTTACAAATAAAGTTCAGATTATTTTTTCTAGTTCTTAAGGTTCTCTAGGGTCTGGAACAAGAATATCTTTTCAGCTTTGTTTGGCTTCAGAAATTCCAAGCCTTACCAAATTCTTCTCCAAAGGCTTTGTGCATTCCCGTCTTTGTCTGAAACAATTCTCCTCCCATTCCCAGACATCCTATATATCCTTTACATCTAAGTGAAATATCATGTCATGCCCAAAGCCTTCACTAAGATAAAAATTGAGTTTTTTTTCCTTTTGGTGAGTGAGAAATGTGTAAATTTGAAATAAACCTGGAGATAGAAAAACTAACCTTTTAAAATGTTACCTTCAAGTTTTAAAAATTTGAAATCTTTCCTTGCTTTAGTTCCTTGTGCTTTCTGTTTGTATGGGATTATCATAAATGATGCAAGTTCAAATACTTTTCTTGTTTCTTTGATAATTGGAAACATCCATGATTGAGAACCTGGTTTCACTGCCTTCATATTTTACTACCTTTTGTCCTCATTCTGTGGCTTGGAACATTCCCTTTTGAGTAAACTGTTTGCAACATTCTTAAGAGTAAGACTTGTTTCAAAACTTTCCTGAGTGACTGTAGGAAAATTTTCTGGGGAAGACAAATATACTATGTATTATAAAACATAAAATGTGAGTGGCCATCTAGGAAGAAAAAATAAAAACTAAGAAAAAAGGGGTGAGGGCACATGCTTTGGAATTCAGTTCTCAACTTGCAATACTTTTTGCTTATGTGCAGGTCTTGTTGCTTTTTCTTTAGTTCATCACCCAGGACAGCTCCTTGACAACCTTCAAAGGAAGACCCTGTGGATAGCTCTGAGTCCTGGGAGCAAACATGCCTACCAAGACCAGGAAGCAGTCCCTATATAAGGCTTCCTTCTGAGTGTGGCTATCACACTTCTATAACCAGGAGCTCTTAGCTATGATTGCACATTTGCTTAAGATGAGGCAGGCTGTTTGTGATTGTTGCCCTTTGGGACTCTTTCCTTTGTAATTTTTATTGCGTTTCTGAGTGTCTTTATTTTATCCTCTAGACTTTCTCTAGACACCTCTACCAGCTTTCAGACCCCTTGCACACACACATACACATATTCACTACAGCCTCCCTAAGGTAACTATCTGGGTATTCTATTGACATTAACCTTTTATCTCTCACAAAATGTGGTTCCCTTGCATTGTTTCTTGGCTGGTAAACTGTGTCTCAGGGCTGTACAACTAGGAATCCCAACTTTCTACTGCATTAATATGTCAACCAATATATGACCCCCTGCTAAATGCTTGAGAGTGCATTAGGCTCTGTGCCTATTTATATTTTGATGTAATCTTTGTCAAAAAGAAGCTAAAAATCTAGTTGAGTAAATAAAGCATAGCTGCCCCAAATCTTTGATGACCAAACCTAGGAATGACATAGACATCAAGTTCAATTTTCCTGGTAAATTGGACTGGGAAAATTGAACTTGATTGTGCAACTTGAAATCAGGAAGTTATCAAACTGCCTGTAATCTTCTCAAAAGGCAAGGTTGATCTGGTATATCTCTCAAAACTCAAAATATTCACAACCTTTGACACAAACATTCTATTTGTAGGAATTTATCATTCAGTTATATCTATATTGCTTTACAAAGCCAGTGTACTTTACAAAAATATATGTGCAAAGAGGTTCACTACTGCTTTAATAAAAGAAAATAAAGAAATATAATACATATGAACAGGGAACTAATTACAATAAATTATGGAGCATTCACAAACAGAATACTATTCAGCCATTAAAAAATGAGACAAAGCCAGGTACAGTGGTGCATGCCTGCAGTCCCAGCTATGCAGGAGGCTGAAGCGGGAGGATCACTTGAGCTCAGGAGTTCAAGACCAACCTGGGCAACATAGAGATACCTCGTCTCTTAAAAAAAAAAAAATGAGATAAATCTAAGTACATAAATATGTCCTAACATAGATGTAAGCTCTTTATATGTATGAACTCATTTAACGTTCATAACGACCCTATGAGATAGGTTGAGATAGGTACTGTGTGATAACTACAAGTGTGATAACTAAGGCTCAGAGAAGTCAAGAGATTTGCCCAAGTGCACACAGTTATTGGACGTGAATCAGGATTCAACTGAGATAGTCTGCCTCCTGAGGTGGTATCTTCCAACAATTATTACCTAAGGAGTGGGACTGAGGAGTCCAGAGTTAAGTGGTAGGTGGGGAGGAGGACTTTCGTTTTTGTACTGTTTGAATCTGTGTACTAGGTACATTAGTTTGGTAATTAAAAAGTTAATTTTTAAAGACATGCTGGATGTCTTCATTTTCTATTTGCCAGTTATCACACAGGAAAAATGTGAAAACAAGATGATAAAATTAATAGGTTTAGTTCTACATACAGTGCTAAAAATATTTTTTCTTATTAAGTAATGTGTAAGAACTTAATAAATACATTTAGCATTGAATTTCCTAAACAGTGTTGAGTGCCTGCCATTTATACTGTACTGTCATACTGTCATACATACCCTGATTTTCAAATGTACCATTTGTATGTAGTACTATGTTAACACTCAAAAGAGTTTCATAATCTCATATATCTTCAGGCTCCTTAAGGTAAAATCATGTAATCAATTGAGTGACCCTGATTTGATTTATTTGGGGACTAAAAATCTCATTAGCCTCTTGTAGCCGTTGGGTAAAATTAGAAAGGCAGGCCAAATTCTGACTTTCCTTTACAATCAGAAAATGGTGAATTCCCCAGACCCCTTGCTCTATCTAAATGATACTGTGATTCTAATTCTAAAGATTTCTACTGGTACAATTTTCATTATGGAATAATGCTCAAACTTCTATTCAAGTGTTTCTTACAATGCAGTATCTATCTATCTATCTATCTATTTGTCATCTATCTACTCTCCTGGCAAGACTTAGATCTACTCAAGAACAACAGGGCTTCTATTAATCTTTGTATCTGTAACACCTAGGCTAGAATTTTGTAATTATTTGATGTATAATGAATTTTGTATGGCTTGTTAATGTTGTATCTTCTTATAAATCAGACATTCTGCTCTAGTCACTCTATAATAAACACCCATCAAAAAACAGATACCTGGCTGGGCGCAGTGGCTCACACCTGTAATCCCAACACTTTGGGAGGCTGAGGTGGGTGGATAACTTGAAGTCAGGAGTTTGAGACCAGCCTGGCCAACATGGTGAAACCCCGTCTCTACTAAAAATACAAAAATTAGCCAGGCGTGGTGGCGGGCTCCTGTAATCCCAGCTACTTGGGAGGCTGAGGCAGGAGAATCACTTGAACCTGAGAGGCAGAGGTTGCAGTGAGCTGAAATGGTGCCATTGCACTCCAGCCTGGGCAACAAGAGTGAAACTCTGTCAAAAAAAAAACCAAAAAAACAAAAAAACAAAAAACAAAACCCAGATACTTTATTAATACATTTGGACAATAATAATTGGCATAAAGTTTGCAGGAAGAAATGCCGGGAAATACAGTTGAATCAAAACAACCCTCACTTCGGGTACACACATGTATATATTTTCAAACTTCTTCTACTTCATCATTATTTATTAATTCTTACAAAAGGCTCCAGAAGTCTTTCTCTTGTCCTTTTCTTTGATATTTTGTGATAAGTGACTTCAATTACAAATTACCCTCAAAACACTTAATCAACCTTATAGTTGAATGTTTTTCCCATTGTTAAAAAAATCCCTCCATCTCACTCCATTCCCAATTTATCTGAAAATCATTATTGGCCAGGCACGGTGGCTCACACCTGTAATCCCAGCACTTTGGGGGGCCAAGGTGGATGGATCACCTGAAGTCAGGAGTTTAAGACTAGCCTGGCCAACATGGTGAAACCTCGTCTCTACTAAAACTACAAAAATTAGCTGGGTGTGGTGGCAGGTGCCTGTAATACCAGCTACTCGGGAAGCTCAGGCTGGAGAATTGCTTGAACCCGGGAGATGGAGGTTGCAGTGAGCCGAGATCATGCCATTGCACTCCAGCCTGGGCGACAAGAGCAAAACTCTGTCTCAAAAAAAAGAAAAGAAAAGAGAAGAGAAGAGAATCATCATTATTATTTTTACTGCTACTAGAAGATAAATTTTTAAAATAATTTCAGTTTATATGCATATAATTCATATATTATACATAATGCATATATACATATATGCACATATTATATGAATATAATATTTAATTTATTACTTATATACATATATGTATATAATATTTAATTTATAACTTATGAATGTTCCATTCTGCCCTGGCCTCTTTAGTAGAAGCCACCTGTCCTCCTTGATTTTCTCTACAAGTCTTAACAACATATCTCTGTCGTAAAGCCACTCAGTCTCCTTTTATACCAACTTAGTCTGCTTCTGCCATGTTCTGCCCTTTGTTTTCTTCCTAAACCCCCTCAGTGCTGACCTGGCTCCACTTCTGTCCTCCCAAGCTTTGCATCACTAATACCTGTCATAAGAACACTGACAACCTCTAGGGGAATAAGTGAAAGAAGACTAGAGCTTAATTAATACGTGAAGGGAAAGTAAGCCTTGGGGGGCTGAAAATCACTAAGCTAAAGGGAAAAGTCAATCTGGGAACTGCTTAGGGCAAACTTGCCTCCCATTCTATGCAAAGTCATCCCTCTGCTCACTGAGATAAATGCATATCTGATTGCCCTCCCAGGAAAGGCTCATCAGAAACTTAAAAGAATGCAACCTGTGTCTCTTACCTACCTGTGTCCTGGAAGCCTCCTTCCTGCTTGAGCTGTCCTGCCTTTCCGGACTTAACCAATGTACATCTTACATATATTAATTGATATCTCATGTCTCCCTAAAATGTATAAAACCAAGCTGTGCCCCGACCACCTTGGGTACATGTCGTGAGGACCCCCTGAGTGAGGCTATGTCATGGGCGTGTGTCCTCAACCTTGGCAAAATAAACTTTCTGAATTAACCTCTCTCAGATATTTGGGCTTCACAAATATCACTACTGTCTTTCCCCAAAGCAACTAATATATTGTGAACACCTAAGAATAAAGTAAATAGATTAGTTTTCTGAGGCTGTCCTATTTATTAATTGATTTATTAAATTTAAAATGTATTGTCTGTACAATGCGAAGCCATATAAATTCCTATTTGACCAAGACAGAGAATATGACCAAAAACTGACTAACCAATCAAGCTAAACAGAATACATAAGACATTGGGAAAAAAAAGAGTCAAATAGGCTGTGGTTCTTCCCCCGAGAGTTATAGTCTAGTAGAGAAGGCCACCGAATGAGTCATCATATTATAATTGCTAATTGCTATTAATATAGACAGATACTGTCATATGCTGCATAACCACGTTTCTGTCAACGATGGACTGCATATATGATGGTGATCATATAACTATACCATATAGCCTAGGTGTATGGTAAGCTATACCAGCTAGGTTTGTGTAAGTATACTCTATGATGTTCACACAATGACAAAATCACCTAAGGACACATTTCTCAGAACATACCCCTGTCCTTAAGCAGCACATGTCTATATCATGGGCATCTAGAGAAAGAGCATCTAATTGGAAGGGAGTGCAACGAAAGTTGTTTAAAGATTAATTTTTTTGAGTTTTTGTTAATTTTTAACCAGCACCATGTTTTTACAGCATTAGTGCAAGTGTCCCTGATATAGTTTTATTTTGCATGTTTTATATAATATTTATAGTGTAAATATTACAATGAATATACCCCACTGCAGTTTTTCCCTCAACACTCTGTTTTGATATTTATTCATGTTGTTACATATAGCTCTAGTTCATTTGTTTTAAATGCTGATGGAATCCTGTTGTATGAACGCAGCGCATATTATTTGTCTAACTTGGCCAATGAACATTTGAGTAGTTTCTACACTTTGTGTCTTTGTGTTGTTGCTTTGGTTGAACGGAAGTTTTTAATTTTAATTTTTAAAGTTTTTATGGCTTATGCTTTTTGTGCTTATTTAAGAAATCTCTTCCAACTCCGAAGTTCTTGAAGATACCCTCCTCTCCTATATTTTTCTAAAAAGTATAGTCTCCTTTTAATATTTAGTTCTCTGTCTCTCTCTCTCTCTCTCTTTTTTTTTTTTTTTTTTTGATACGGAATCTCGCTTTGTCATCCAGGCTAGAGTGCTGTAGTGCGATCTTGGCTCACTGCAACTTCCACCTCCTGGGTTCAAGCGATTCTCCTGTCTCAGCCTCCTGAGTAGCTGGGATTACAGGCGTGCACCATCATGCTCGACTAATTTTTGTATTTTTAGTAGAAACAGAGTTTTACCATGTTGGCCAGGCTGGTCTCCAACTCCTGACCTCAAGTGATCCGCCTGCCTCGGTGAGCCACTGCTCCCAGCCTGTCCTTCTCTTTCTATCTCTCTCTCTCTCTCTCTCTCTCTCTCTCTCTGTGTGTGTGTGTGTGTGTGTGTGTGTGTGTGTGTCTATATGCTCACTCCTTCCAATCTACACTTTCCTCTACCTGGTTCTTCAGGTCCCAGTTCAGAAATAGTTCTCGTCCCTGAGCCAGAGGTTACCTTGCTTTAGTTCCTGGTCAAAAAGTGATGTGCCCTACCCTCACTGGTCTCATATCTTTGAAAAAGCTACACATCCACATAAGGACAGAGCACAGCCTGTTGCTTTTCTGAATTGGAGGACATGCTGCTACCTCTGCTGTGGAGCCCAGGCATGGAGGTCTTCTGGTCCTGTCTGTCTGCAGAAGCTGCTCTGCTGCCACTGCCTGCTCCAGACCAAGCACCCAGGTCTCAGGCTTCAGCCCATTCATTGCTTTATGCTTCTCTCTTGTTTGGATCTAGGGAGATATATATCTTGCTTTGGAGCCCTGCTGTTTCTTTTTGCTTTTTTGAAGATATATTTTCTGTGTGTTTGGAGAAGAAATAGTTCATCAAAGCAAAAACTTTTAGCACTATTCTGACCTGAACTCTTTAGTTCTCTTTATGGAAGAGTTTAAAAAAAAAAAAAAAAAAGAGTAGGAGTTAGCTAGATAGAGAAGGCCTTTGAGAGGAAATTGCAGATGAAAGGAAGAGTTTGTGTGAATGCACAGAGACCAGAATAAGAAGGTTTTTGGAAATGCAAAACACTTCGGTATGACAGTAGCAAAGAAGGCATATAGGGAGAGGGGCAGCAAAAAACCCTAGAGGGTAGGAGCAGTATGACGCAGAAGGTTTTTGTGCCTCCCACAGCCCAGCAACTGCCACTTCTCTAAAACATACAGGAAAGACCCGAAGAACTGCACAATGAAGAAGAGAAAGAAGGCAAAAGCAAACATAATAACTCTATAGAGAACATCACAGATTTCAAAACATAATCACATCAATTAAATAAGGTGAATGGTGCTGATGTCATCATGGCCATTCAAGAAACAAGAAAACTGAGACTCAAGGAGTTTAAGTGATGAACTAGAATTGAAACCCTAATCCTCCTTTGCCTAGTCTCTTGTTCTTTTTGTCAGTTACAATTCAGAGTGTATATACATACAGCAGAAAGACTGCCCACCATGAACATACCTTAGCCAAGGCAATAAAATAAAAAACAGTTTGCATAGAAACACATTTTTTGGTGAATTCCTTGAATCCACTTTTGTGTCTCTTCCTCTACTTGTCTCTCATTCTATGCTCTGGATTGAAATTCATATAATCCATTATACTTGTTTACTTTATGATACAAAAGGCTGAAAAGGCTCAATGTTCTATCTACTCCTCCAAAATTGGCATTTTCACTAGAACAAAGAAAATAAATTTCAATGGTACAAGTTCTGATAATACTAGCCTACAGAGGGTTTACATTTGAGCAAAAGCTCCTCACCAATGTTCTCCAAGTCACGGGACCCAGACAACTTTGTGTTCTTACATATGAGGACTAACTTGCCTTAGCAATAGTGAAGATTTGAACCTAATTAACTTATAATGAACTCAATTATAAGTGCCTCAAATTAGAAGTTAGTAGCTCTCTTAACTAAACTACTTACTGAAGTTTTACATGTAGTTCTGTTAATGGTCACCCATTTACTCAACAAATACTCCAAATTAATAGGTTAATAAATTTACTATAACATGAAAATATTATTTAAGGGCTGACGTAGAGCTAGAAAATGTAATTTCCCCCCAGCTTCTACAACTGAAGAAATGTAATTATTGATCAATCAACACTTATTTCTGAAATTCAATAACACCACTAACCTACTAAAAAAGCAGAATAGTGAAGAGGCTAAGACCAGTTCTTTCAGATCACAGACTTAACCTAGTTTTGCAGAATTTGTACTTCATTGTTCTTTCTATTCTCTGATATCAACTTAAGTTCTATTTGAGTAATTATATAGTTATCTTTCCTCCCTCAAAGGATAGTTTGAAAAACCTATATTCTCATACTCCTAGTGTGTCTATACCATCCCTAAAAACTGCTTTTATAATTCTTACATATCTGGGCAAATGGAGAGGGAGGTTTTTAGTAACTTCACTTAGTAAGATGTTCCCATCGTCATAAGAGAGCAATTTGAAAGCTTCCACGTAAAATATGTCTTCTCCCTATTTTCTCATCCATAATACAAAGAGAAATGTGACTTTAATTCAACAGTAAGTCATGATCTTTTATTATTCCTCCACATTCTTAAAGAGTAATAAATACTATGTTCCTTCCCTATAATGATAGAAAAAATCCAATTCCTAAAGGTATACCTTTAAGCAAAGTAATCACTGCTGCTATTTTCCTCTGATATTAATGAACAATAATCCAACCCAGAACTAAATTGGAGCTTAGCAAATGCATGCTTATCATATAAGTAATACTTTGGTATAAGTTTATAAGAGTGTATTTCAAACTGAAAATGCTTCACCTAAATATCTTGGGTGAGAAAGGTGAGTATAAATAGTGGTAAACTGTGTTTGTTATTCTTCCAGGTTTTCCGGGTGTGGGATATACAAACTCTTTCACTATTACAAGTCTTCCATGACAGCCAGGGAGGACCAGGAGACATGCAGATTTACTCTATGATATATGATGCCAATCATGGCATGCTTATTACGGGTAAGTGTACCCAATTAATGTCAAACGAAACTCATGTCTTGATTTTTAACCTTTTTTTAAACTAGCACTTGAGCACTAACTACAAGGAAAACAAAACTAGAAGGGTAATTTATCAAACCATGATTCGTGACAGTAGATATTTAATTCAATTCTGCTCTTTCCTATATATTTCTGTGGCTGGATGATTGAAATGTGTAACTGCACTTTTCTGAAAATACCAGGTTGGTTATTGCTTTAAGTTCTTGAACCTAGGAAGAAAGTTCTATTTGAGTAATTCTATAGTTATCATTCCTCCCTGAAAGGATAGTTTTAATAATCTGAAAACACCAGGTTATTGCTTTAAGTTCTTGGACCTAGGAAGAAATGCCTGGGCTAAGCAAAGAAGTGGGATGTATGTAACTTGTTGCTATGTATAGGGCAAATCCAGCTCCCACACACAGCTCTGTTTTGACTCTGGAGCAGGAATATGATCCTATTTTACAGCGGCTGCACCAGCGTACCGAGTCAATGCCCCTTTTCTGCAGTGAGGAAATTTGGGCCCATGCCATTCTGATAACGAGTCACTACTCAGTAGGAAAAGTGCTGACACCTTCACCAGCCTTTGCCTCTCGACGAAGACCAATGGAGAGTGAGGATAGAGTCCCAGTGCTGATGCCAACAGATTTGTTGCTGATTTTTCTTGTGGCCTCTTAGAAAGACATGCCTACTAAAGAAACAAGGGGCCCTGCTAGACATCTAGGTTGAGCACTTTTTATATGCATACCTTTAGGCTTCAGGATAAAAATGCATTATATTAATAGTAGGTCCTCCTTCTAGAAGCCAAAATGAGTGAATTTCCTAAGCATTTTCCCACTGGCCAGCTGCTCTGAGTTCCTGTGGGATTAATTAAGGCAGGGAAGAGGTTGGTGCTATCTCTGCTGGTGGAGAATGTAATTATTTTTGACATTCAGTGTTTTTATTTCCTGGATTAGGAGTGAACTAGCACTTCATACTTGATAAAGAACTTTCCACATTATAAAACAGGACTTAGTTTTAGTTGTAAACACCTATTCTCTGTTTTACCTCCTCTAAAAGGAACATAATAATGACTATAAGCAAATTTTCTCTCAGTGCCCCAATTTGCATATTTGATTACTAGGCTTAGCATTTCCATCCCATTTATCATCATAGTCACTAAGGACTCAAATAGTAAGGCAAAGAAGAAAAAGAAAAAGAAGACAGAAAAATCAAGATTTCTTCCCAATTTTGTATCATTCTGATAGCACCTCTGTTTGCAAAAATATAAAGCTCTGTGTATTGTTCAATCACCAAAACTGCAGACACTTACTGCAACCATGAACTTGACATCAGAATTACATGAAGCTTATGTCTAGGATTTTAATTCATTCTTTGATTCAAATGAAGCAACCATCAGTCCTCTAAATCCCAATGACAGTAGCACCACGTTCTAGAAATGCTTTGTATTTTGTTGCTGCTGTCACTGTTGTTATCATTATTACTTTTATTAAGACAACTACCATTACAATCATCTATTTTTTTCATTTGATCTGCACAGCCACCATATGAGGTAGTAATTATTTTTTCTATTTTATAAATGGAGAAACTGAATCTCAAACAGCCCAGCTGACTAGTGGCAGGACACAAGGTTAAAACATAGAACTGAGATTCAATATCAGAGCTTCTAACTCTGGACTCCACATTCTTTCTCAGCACTGCATCATTTCTATAGCAGCAGTGTAACTAGCCAAAAAGTAGAAGATTGCCAGTTTTCCATAAGCATATCAAGATTTGTTGACGTCCATTCTGAATGAAGTCAGTTACTGTCACTGTAATGAAAAGGATCTACCAAAAGGTCCAAGTATGATTTGACTATCTGGTTACCATATTCTGCTCACATTTCCATGTTAAGGTATCTGAACTGAGAAATACAACCAGATGAGCCATCTCAGTCCGTATTTACACATGAACAGGTTTTATCTTAAAATTTAAACACTTCAGAGAGTGTTTAGTAACTCCTGTAGAAACTTCTCCTAAAGTTGAGAATTCTTTGGAGAAACTTGAGAAACTCAATGCAAAATCTGCCTTATTAACTTAATCTTTACATCGATAAAATCAGGAAGAAATTTCAGTTTTGCTTGAGCCACAGGAATGCTCTGAGATTCTTTTTTTTTTTTTAATCTTAATTTTTATTTTTTTGAGAAGGAGTCTCGCTCTGTCGCCCAGGCTAGAGTGCAATGGCATGACCTCGGCTCACTGCAACCTCCCTCCGGGGTTCAAGTGATTCTCCTGCCTCAGCCTCTCGAGTAGCTGGGATTACAGGCACCCACCACCATGCCCGGCTAATTGAGATTCTTATTAATATTTCTAGACATTACACTAAAACAGAGCTGCAGTTAATTTTGATACTTATATCATACTTAGAAAAATGCAAGTAAAGCATACCTGCTCCTCATCTACTTCTACTTTACAGTGGTGATTTAGAAATTAATCTTATTTTTATATTGATGTTGCAAGCACTGGCTTGTGATCATTCTCATTTGTTACATTTAATAAGACCATGTTTACAGAGTGCTTTATCAATTTATTGGTTGAAAGGGGCTCTCTAACAATAAATTTCCACCACTAAGAGGAGGCTAACCTTCAGCAGAAAGCTGGTCATCACCACTATTGCTGTGCAACAGATGGAGAGGCATGCTGCAGGCACAATAAAAGAGAGAAGTGGACTATGAAATATAGGAAAATGAGGTTCACTAAAAAGGATATCAATGAAGTCCAAATGGCCTGCACTTGAAAAATAATCCAGTCCAAAATGAATGCTTTTCTGTGGCTGAATCGTATGTGCTTTATCTGTCAAAAATGTTCTAGAATAAATGAAAATATTCTCACCTCATTACATTTCCTAGGCATTGATTGATATTGCTAATCTCACTGTTTGGCTGTTTCCAAACCCAACTGCTTGGCTGAAACCCTTTGTGATTAGAAACTTCTAATATTGCATATTTATGAGATTCTTACTTCTGTTCCAGGATCTAGTGTTATGGACATGTATCCTTTGACTAGGATGATACAAGATACAAAACAGGTTCCTCACACTCATGAACGAGAAATCAATGTCATGCTTTACAACAAATATTTTCATCAAGTACTCACTATCTGCTCTGAATCCATAATTAGGGTAAGTACCTATTGGCTTTTCAAACAGAAAAAAAGGCAATGCAGATATAATTTTCTGTTCTTAAAATAAATCATTGAGTGATTAAGCAAATGTAGCGGCACATACGATGAGACCATACATTAGAATGATTTTTAAGCTTCCATGAGTACGTGAAAAACAAGCGTTTTAATTAAGCCAGTTCAGACTGCTTGCCATCAACCCACATGCTCAATTGAATAAACACAGCTAGTTTTCACAATCAAAATAGGAATTTTAAAGGAAATATATCAAGAAGACAGAACTAGTCTGCATTTTGATTTTTTTAAAGGAGTACGGGAAGAGGATTTATGTTAAGAAGGAAGGGGAATAAATTTATAGGTGTTTACTGTAACCCCTGTAGATTCAGAATACGTACCAAGAGCTTTAAGTCTCTGTGATCTGCTTTAATCTTCACAACAGTTCTCTGTGAACAGATAAAGAGTTTTTATTTTAAAGATGAGGAAATCAGGGCTTAGAGAGATCAAGCAACATAGCTGGCATAAGCATGACGGCTGGAATATGAACCCAAGTTTTTCTGATGTAAGCACCCATGCCCTTTCTGCTGCATTTCCTCCAGCCCAGCTGCCAGAGGCATTTGAACCACAGCAACTCCATCTTGAATGAGGCTGGGTAAAATGAGGCTGAGAGCTACTGGGCTGCATTCCCAGATGGTTAGGCATTCTAAGTCACAGAGTGAGACAGGAGGTTGGCACAAGATACAGGTCATAAAGACCTTGCTGATAAAACGAGTTGCAGTAAAGAAGCCAGCCAAAACCCACCAAAACCAAGATGGCGACGAGAGTGACCTCTGGTCATCCTCACTGCTACACTCCCACCAGCACCATGACAGTTTACAAATGTCATGGCAACGTCGGGAAGTTACCCTACATTGTCTAAATAGGGGAGGCATGAATAATTCACCCCTTGTTTAGCATGTCATCAAGAAGTAACCATAAAAATGGGCAACCAGCAGCCCTAAGGGGTTGTTTATGGAGTAGCCATTCTTTGTTCCTTTCCTTTCTTCATAAACTTGCTTTCGCTTTACTCTGTGGACTTGCCTTGAATTCTTTCTTGTGTGAGATCCAAGAACCCTCTCTTGGGAGTCTGGATCAGGACCCCTTTCCCATAACACGGCCATCACAGCATTTCCTAGAGGCCAGGGGTCCTGGCCATGCTAACCGTGTCCATCATTACGGCCACTGAAGTCATCCGGCAGTGATGGCTGGAGGTGTTTGCTTCAGGTGTTGGTCCTTTCATTTCATGCATGCCCTCCAAAAGGAGACGTGTGGACTAGCAGACAGCATTCCTCTGGGGACCCTTCAAATTACCTCTCAGTCTCTGACTTCTGTGATCGTTTGCTGGAGATTTTCTCAAGTGAGAATCTCCTGAGTTCATTGTATTAGTGCATTTCTGGTAATGCCTAAAGAGAGAGGTAGAGGAAAACGAAAGCTGAAACCTGTCCTGCTTTTGTGCAATCAGTATTTTGTGCAGTCACCTCTTATGGGGAAAATGTCATCCCTGTGTGGGAAAAAAGAGTGGGAGGACCACATGAAGGTGAGTTTTCATGCCAGGTTGGTTGGAGAGGGATCACACTGCAGGCCAGGAGATGGGTGACCCCTGAGACCCATTCATGCAATGACCCACATTTCTCTTTCTCCCTTAAGAACCCTGTCTATAATCAGGGACACGCAGAGGTTAAAAGTACGGACTCTAGGGCCAGACTGACTTCACTCAAATCCCAGCTCTACCACTTCCCGGCAAGTGGCCCTTCATTATCAGGCCCCCAGACTATCTCATCAGCTCCATCCCCTCCGCACTCCCCCTCTTACCCAGCTAAAGTGGCTTGCTTTCCATTTCCTGGAGGAAAGATGAACTTTCTCACCCCTGGCACTTTGCATATGCTGTCCTCTCCGCCACAATACCTAGAGTGCAATCATTCTGTGTTGCCAGTTCAGTGCTGTCACTAACTGGCAGTGCAATTTACATCTGAACATGGCAACTCCATGAAGGAGAGACTTAGACAGAAAATCTGCAGGTCTAAGGCCTCTACTGTGTTTCCAGAGAGAGATAATGATGACTCTTGAGTCTTGACATGTCTCTAGAATTTCTGATTACACCCATCCTAATTACACAGATGGCCTCCTCTGAGGTCAGTCTCTTTCTCTCTGTCTCTCTCTTTCTCTTTGTGTATGTGTCTCTCCCTCCCATTCTCTCTCTCACTGGGCCCATGTCTCTAGTCAGAACATTCCTAGGAAAGGTCGGTGAGCTCTTTCCTCAGGGTTCTTCTCTCAGGTCCCATGCTATTAACCACAGATCCTGTCCCATGATCCCTGGATAACTAGGATGAGTGTCACCAGGGAATAAATCCAGTTCATATTTCTTTTGTCTGCTGAGCTTGCAATTGTTCCATTTCTAACCTTGCTTCAGGCTTACAGTACCAACTGACCACTTCTTCCATGGCCAGGGGCTGCCTGGAATAGAGTCCCTGCCTGTCTCAGCCCCTACATTTGCAGCAGACACAGTAACTATTAAATGCACTTTATCTTTTAGAACTTTCTTTGATAAAACCAACATTCAGGGCAGAGCGCTAGGAAATGTGTTAGATGTACAGAGTTCCATTTTTGAGGCTGTTTTGAATATGGTGTAATTCTGATGAGAATTGAAGGGCTTCTTCAAACGGATTACTTGATATTTTCGTTCTTTCCCATAGGTATGGGAACTCGAGACTGGGCTCCAAGTATACCAGATTTTAGAACCTCATGGTTTCAATACTGAAGTGACTTCTGCAGCTGTCGATGAAAGTGGATTTCTTTTTGCCACAGGAGCGTATAATGGTCAGACTAACATCCAGAATGTGGCGTCCCTGCTTTAGTGTCCTGAGAATTTCCGCCAAAAACTCTTTCGTTCTTTAGGGTAGAAGGAGAGCATGAAGCAGGCTGGACTATGTCTGGGTGCCAGTGAAATTCCTGTGCCTGGGTGAATAGTGGTAGAGTCCCTTATCTAACAGGCATCAATGTCTTGATATGATGTTAAAAATAATTCCTCACATTGCATTTACATAGTTGCTTTAACAGTTTGCAGAAGTCTTTTGCATATGACATCTCATCTAATCTGTGTTGCACTGACTCATCCTATCTTTCCACTTTTGGGTACCATCAGCCAAGAGACAGACATCAGATTCAGTGCTTGCTAACAATAATTTTACCGACAGTAGATTTCTGGACCAGACAAAACATCCAGCCAACTTTGTCACATTACTCCTATATTGGAATTCTATATTGGCATTGTTCATATGTCTAGCCTTCGTGAGGGCATGTTCCATGCCAAACTTGAGAGGATGCCAGGCCCAGGTTGGGCTAGGCCGTTTGGTGTGCCTTACGCTATGGAGCACTGGTAGGACTTCCAGGAACTGAAGAGCTACAGACTGCCCTGCCTTTCACCCCACTCACGACATACTAAATGAAAGAACTGCTTTATCTAGACCATATGACCGATTGCATGAGCTACTCTGAATATATTTACCCTAGGCCTATACGCATAAGCCAGTTGATGACTCGAGTGAGCATCCTGATGTGTGAAAGTCTCACTTTTAAAAGTGTGAGCAGATGACAACAGCACGTGAAATAAAATCATGAATGCTGAGTTGATGGGGTATGAATAAATGCAACTGCCCTTCACGTGGATCGGTTCTTGAGAAAGCAGTCTTAACTGTTCCATAAGCACACCCTGCATAGACATGAAATGTGGTTGTTGAGATTCTGAGCAATGTACACAATTATTATCAGGCAGAAGCATTAAGCAATTCAATATATGACTGACAATAGTATTGTTTATATGCAAGCAAGCCATATTTTACATTGTTAGTTCTAGAACCTAGAATTCTTTCAGATATTGAGTTTGTCCTCCTCAAAGGTACATACGTTAAATTTATTTTATTGTGTTTATTTATTTGGAGTCAGAGTCTCACTGTGTTGCCCAGGCTGGTCTTAAAGTCCTGGCTTCAAGTGATCCTCCCTCCTTGGCCTCCCGAGTTGCTGGGATTACAGGAGTGAGCCACTGTGCCAAGCCCTCTCTGTTAAATTGACAGAGATCCAGGACACCCTGGGAAGTGAGATTCTGACTCCCAGAGAAGTTCAAACCACAAGCCACTGGTCTCCTCGCATTACTACCCACCCATCACCTGGGAAAAGCTGAGGAGTACGTCTCTCTGCTCTCAGCTCCACTAAATCTGACTGCCCAAGTCCCAAGGTAGCAGGAAATCTGGACAAGGAGATTGTCCTCTGCATAACCCAGCAATGTATGAGAACACGATAATGTCTTTTAATTGTTTGTGTGACTGTTTTCCTATAATGCCACAGAGTCCTTGAGGGTAGGCACTATGATTATTCATTAAATATCCCCAGCTCCTACCACAGTGCTGGGTATATAGGGAGTATTTAATCAATGTTTAATGATGTTCCAACAAATACTGGGGGTGTGAGTGTTGCTGATGGGGAGAACCTGGTGTAGGGGAAGGAAAATAGTGCAGTGAAAACACTCTGGGTGTCGAGCAGGATTCGAGCTGAGGGATAAGAAATGGGGTAGGGTTAAAGGAGGAGAGGAAAAGACCTGTGGTTCACTGGAGTCTGAATCTGAGGTGACCACTATAAAAGCTCATGTGAGAAGAGAATTCTCTACTCTGAGCAATGACCTAGAAATAGGCATTCCACAACTGTACTGTTTATCATCCCTCTGGCCCCTTCTTCCAGGTCCCCCAAAGCAAATGAATGAAGTTAACAATAAAGAAAGTGTCTCCATCCATTTGAGCTGCTACAACGGAATACCATAGAGTGGGTGGTGTTTTAAAAAAAAAAGTTTATAGCAGATTTATTGATAATAACCAAAAACTGAAAAAAAAAAAATTTTCAACAGATGACTGGTTAGACAAACTGCAGTAGAACAATACAGTGGAATACTGTAGTTATTACAAGTAATACAAAGAAACAAGCTAGTTATATTTGCATCAGTTTGAATGAATCTGAAAGGCACTAACAAAAGACAAAAGCCAATCTTAAAAGGTCACGTATTCCATTTCAGTTCTTTTTTTTTTTTTTGTGATGGAGTCTTGCTTTGTCACCCAGGCTGGAGTGCAGGGGCGCAGGGTCTCGGCTCACTGCAACCTCCGCCTCCTGGGTTCAAGTGATTCTCCTGCCTCAGCCTTCTGAGTAGCTGGGACTACAGATGCCTGCCACCATGCCCAGCTAATTTTTGTATTTTTAGTAGAGACAGGGTTTTGCTATGTTGCCCAGGCTGGTCTCGGAACTCCTGACCTCAAATGATCTGCCCGCTTTGGCATCCCAAAGTGCTGGGATTACAGGCGTGAGCCACCGCACCCAGCCAATAACATTCTTAAAATAACAAAGTAAGATGTCTTCAAAATGACAAACTTTTAGATAAGTAAAACAGAACAGCTTAGTGATTACCAAATAGTGACGGCGGGGGTGGTGGTGACTATGAAGGTTAGCACAAGGAAGTTCCTGTGGATTGATGGAACATTTCTGTATATTGGTTGTGCAAATTTATACATACGGTAAAATTGTGAAGAACTAAACGCATACACACACGAGTGCACGTAAAAAACTGGTAAAATCTGGACAAGGTCTGTAGTCTAGTTAATGGGATTTTCTAATGTCAATTTGCTTGTTTTAGGATTATACCGTAGTCACATGGGCTGTAAGCAATGGGGGAAGTTGGGAAAAGGTACACAGGACTCTACTATTTTTGCAACTTTCTGTTTCTTTTTATTTTTCAAAGTTCAAAATAATGTAGAAAGTTAACAAATTTTGCCAAACACTGAAACACTGATACAAATCTTTAAATTTGTACATTAGTTGAGGTCTCAAATGTCGTGTATCAGATTAATTAAAATGCTTTAAGCACTATCAGAATTGGAGCTGACAGTGTCTCCTTGGTATGTAATAAGATGGAAAGAGTGTTGGGCCCATACTGACATCTAGAAAAAAAGCAAGCTGATCTATGAAATCAGAACTTTTCTTGAACCTATGCGAGAATCGATGTTGCAGGCAAATAGCCTGAAATCGAAGGAAAGACACAGGAAGGAAAGACTTCCTGGGAAAGACAGGCACTTCCGCGGAAGGCAGGACACAATTACTGTCTTACCTAGGGCAGTGATGAGAAGGAAATTGGGCTGGCATTCAGGTGGGTGAGAATGTAGTCAAATTTGTAAGAATTGCTGAGATCTGAGTGTAGGATAGCATGAGAGTACAGCGCTTCTAAAAGCCAGAAACACAAAGGGACTGTGCGTCCATTCCCATGCTCCTCACAGAGCTCGTCACATGTCACACAGTGCTGGCCTCCCTCATGGTGCAGATGTTGGGGAGAGGAACAGCCAACACTGTGGAGCCACAGAAAGTCCCACCAGCATCCGTCTTACCGACAAAGCAAAAGCCTAAGCCACTGAGGGAAGGGCAGCAAACCCTCCTGCTGATACTGTAGATGAAGACCTATTGTAAGGGAGAAAAAGCTGAGCAAATTCTTCTCTACCTCTTGAGGGGAGATAGGAAAACCTCCTGGGCTCAGACCATTTGACATGCCTTACCACTCAGGGCAGGAGGACTGGGGGTTTTTCAACAACAGAAATTGATTTCTCTCAGTTCCGGAGGCTGGGAAGTTCGAGATCAAGGCGCTGGCAGATCTGGTGTCTGGCAAGGGCCCGCCTCCTGGTTTATAGATGGTGCCTTCTCATTGTGTTCTCACATGACAAAGGGGCAAGGCAGATCCTTGGGGCCCATTTTGTTACTTACTTTTCTTTTTTTGTCTGAGCCACAGCAGATCTCAATTTGGGGCCTTTTTTATAAAGGCACTAATCCCATTCATGAGGGTTCTACCCCCATGACCTAATGATCTCCAAACACCATCACGTTGAGGTTTAGGTTTCAAACAGAAAGTATAATTTTAAGTGTAAGAAAAACACTTGGCCGGGCACGGTGGCTCCTGCCTGTAATCCCAGCACTTTGGGAGGCCGAGGAGGGCAGATCATGAGGTCAGGAGATCGAGACCATCCTGGCTAACATGGTGAAACCTCGTATCTACTGGAAATACAGAAAAATTAGCCGGGTGTGGTGGTGGGCGCCTGCAGTCCCAGCTACTCTGGAGGCTGAGGCAGGAGAATGGTGTGAACCCAGGAGGCGGAGCTTGCAGTGAGCCGAGATCGCCACTGCACTCCAGCCTGGGTGACAGAGTGAGACTCTTGTCTTAAAAAAAAAAAAAAGAAAGAAAGAAAGAAAAAGAAAAGAAAAGAAAAGAAAAACACTCGACACTTTTCTTTCACTTTCCTCCCACGTAACCAACAAAACCACTCCAAGCTTGGCAGTTTCTTACCGGCTGGGATTCCCTCCAACTTTTTATTATCTAATAAGAGCTAAAGTCCTAAAACATGTCAGCACATTAGGAAATGTGACAGATTACTGGAATGATCTTTCACTGTGAATAATAGTCGTGGCATGGTAGCGAATATTCCCATGTTCGGGACTGGGTGTTTAGCACACTGAGAAGCGTTGGGAGAATAACAACAGAAGAGACTCACTTTAGAGCAAAAGCTTAGTAGGAGAGCCTGAGGGTAGATTTCAAGGCGTTGCCTGGTCCTGTTTATTTATTTATTTTTTTCAGCCTGTGACAAATCAAGGCATAAAGGAATAAATTTCATGCACAGCAAGCCTGGGAAGACTCACCCATCTGAGTAGGGAATAAATATAGGATAAATTGTTGGCAGAAAGCTTTCGATCGGATGAATTTTCTCTGAGCGAAAAGCCAAGCTTTCTCTAAGTCATTTTTACCCACATAGTCTTTTTCTCTGTATGCTCAGGAACAGTCAGAATCTGGGACTTTGGCAGTGGGCAGGAGATGAAGGTGTTGCCGGAGGGGAAAGACTGGAAGGAGGACGAGCACTGCCTACGACGCCTCATTTTCCTCAAAGCCCAAGAAAAACACCAGCAGCTGGTCCTGGCCTTGGAGCGCAACGGGACTATCAAAATGATCCAGGTTTACAATCCCACTTCATACTCGTACTGCAGGTGCCCTTTTTGGGAAAATCAAATGAGTCAGTGGATAATCCCCACCATGTAACCCCGCTCTTGGTAGCCAGCTGAAGATGGTATTTATCCTCAGCCTTCCCGTGATGCTCCTCATTAACTTTGCCCAGGTTTAGGCAAAGAGCAAAAAACAATCGCTGCCCAGCCACGGCATGCTGCCCATCAAGCTTCCGCTGAAGGGTTAGTCAGGGTCTCCTAAGGCAGGTGTCAGGAAGGCTAAATTTATACTCAGCTGCCACCTCTGACATGCTTTATACGCTCATATGGGAATAATTCACTGGCAGAACTGCTTTCCAGCAGGCTCTGTCCCTTATAACCCATAATGCATTCAGGAATGCTCAAGTCACTTTTCCAGTTTGTCACCAAAATCGCTTTGTTTATTTTAAGGTTAATGACGCAATCTGCTCAGGGCTGTTTGGGGAGGATTGAGGTAGGCTAATTTATTTTTCCTATGACTCTATTACCACCTGGGAATGCTAATGCCCTCTTCAAATTTATAATGAAGACTAGATCATTTATCCTGGCTATTGAGCGGATCTCACCCCATCACCTCGAACTCAAGAACTCATTGCCTTTACCCTTTTGAAAGCTAAGATCAGAAAAGAAAAGTCTTGTATAGCACAGCAATCATGAAGCACCAGCTTAAGATAACTGATGACCTAAGAATGGGGAAAAAGGAGTGAAAAACCTGCCTGATGTAATATACTCTTCTCTTGTCTGAGTAATCCAAAATGGCACTGTAGAAAGGAATTTCTTAGTAATAATACACTCTACAATGAACGAAATGTTGACTTTTGCTTTACAAAGTGCCATTGTTCATCAGGATGCCCTTCCTACCAGACAATGTCTGTTGTCACAAATGCTCCTTTTTTAAGGGCTGCAAAAAGTAGCATGGAACTATTCACTCACCAAAATTGTTTTTAGTTCTACTGTAGCATTTTTCACATTGATTATTCTGGTTCTGCATTTAGAACCTGCAGATTGATCTTGGTAGGAACTGAAAACCTCTCTTATTTATATTTGTATTCTTGGCCATGCCCAGAGTAGGTGCTCATTAAGGATTAAAATAATTTTAAAAATAAATAGAGAAAGAACCTCTTCTAAAGTAGACAATAGTACATTTATGAGGGGTATTTGGAGAACTTTTATTAATGTTGGAGCGGGCAGCTTTATAATATAATGTTGAAAGTATCCTTATTTACTTATTATTATTAGTGTATTACTATTATTTACTTTATTATTATATCTGCCTATTTGAAATAAAATAATTTGATTTACATACTTATTTTCTAGAATACTTTCATTCATTCATTTTTTTCAATGACCAGTTACCAAATATTTGCCATGTTCCAGAAGGATATTCCCTTTCACCATGAAATGCATAATTTAATAAGGGGGCAGTGATCCACCTACTACAAGTGTTGTGAGTGCTTTCACAAAGTGTCTCAGAAGCTTGTATGGTGGGATGGTTGTCAGACTAATCTGGTAGCCAGGCCATTTTTTTTCCAACTAAAAAGGGAACAAGCTTTATAATAAATTTCTTTCCCTAAATTCCAAACCCCATTTCTCTGTTTGCCCAGAAACTGGAAGGTGGGCAGGTGGAAGTTGGAGCTGAGAGTGGAATGGAGGAAAGATAAACCCAACCTCTATCTCTCTATCTTCCTAGATTCCCAGCTGCCTTAAAAACAAAAACAAAAACAAAAAAACAAACACCCCCATCCCGGCTCCACAAAACCAAAAAGCCAAAACCTGCTTCAGTGATCACATTCAGTTATTCAGGAAACATCGCTGATGCATTATGAGCTGAGAAGGGTCTCCAAAGTATCATGTACTTTTAAATGTGTTCAGACAGTCCTTAACGGCTTAAATATAATATCTCTCTTATGCTTCTGTTCTTGGTTTTATTTTCTCAAGTCTCAGAAAAACCCTTGTGCAACTGCCCGCTCTGGGCACAAATCATCACTGTGCTGAATATTCTGGGCATGATTTCCTAGCCACGTAACAAGAGGGCAGACCGTAAATTGACTGGTCTATTAATACAACTTCATAGAAAACAAGAGAAGAAAACAACAATTCTTCTCATAATCTCAGTTTTAAGGGGATAGAATTGCATTCTGCCTATATGAAACCTTTGGCAAATTTGAGAAAAATTTGCCCCCAAGCCATTGTTGACAAAACCATAGGTTGGTGAGAGATTACTGTTCTAACATGATAAACAAAGCACTATGGGGGTTCCAGGAAGATGATTAATTGACCCCAAAATCATTCAAATTCTAAAGACCCACTTACTTCCCTTCCTTTTAACCACAGTGCTTTATGAATCTACTCATATAGCTGTATTTCTGTGTCCTTTAAAGTAAATGATCTTTCTTTATGAAGCAATTAACATAATAATGCTCTTAGCATTATATGAACTGCTGTTTTCCTAATCAATTCCTAAAGACCTACCAGCCAATTCCAATATAACATAAAAGATTTCACCAATTAGAGATGAAATGTAGAAAATAAGGGTAACTTTTCACAAAGCTACTTTTACTTCATTTAAATTTTAAGATTATATCTTTCCTACTGTTTTATATTACTATAGCCTTTCTTTTCATAAAATAATGGTAGTAGAGTTTCCCATCTCCTTCTCCCTCATGTCCTCACTTGGTAAAATTGAATGTTGGTAACTCTAGGTCAATCTTCAAAAGGTGTTTTGTAAATTCTGCTGCTCTGTGAATTCAGAAAGTCTGAGAGCCACTGTCATAGGAGGTTCCATTGAAACCGGTTAAACCTATTAAAAACCACTGTTGGGCTGGATATAGTGGCTCATGCCTGTGATCTCAGCACTTTGGGAGGCCAAGGCAGGAGGATAGCTTGAGGTTAGGAGTTTGAGACCAGCCTGGGCAACATAGTGAGACACCATCTCTACCAAAAAATGTAAAAATTAGCCAGGCATGGTGTCACACACCTGTAGTCTCAGCTACTTGGGGAGCTGAGGTGGGAGAATTGCTTGATCCTGGGAAGTCAAGGCTGCAGTGAGCCAAAATTGCACCACTGCACTCCAGCCTGGGCGACAGAGCAAGACTCTGTCTCAAAAAGACACACACACAAAAAACAAACCACTGTCAATAACTCATACCACCAGGTGGGCACATAAATCTAACTAAGCTATTACTCAGTGTCAATATCTGGTCACTCTTGAGATATTGCTGAGATTCATTCCTTCTATCCCACAATGGCACAAACTGTAAACAAAGAATCCACCAGTACGTAGGAGTACTATGGGCCCATACTTTTAAATTAACATGGATATGAAGTAACAGAGGCCTTAGGGCAACACCTAAAATCAAAGCTTTAAAAAATGGAAGGACTTTTATCCATCAACTAGCTAAAGCCCTCATTTTGCAAATAAGAAAAATAGGGCCAAAGAAGGTATGTACCTTGCCCGAGGTCCCACAAGAACTAAGACTAGAAACTGGCTGTCTTCACTCCTAGACCAATATTCTCTCCACTTTTCCATAGCTGCTTTTCAACATAGAAAGAGTCCTGTTCTGCAAGCAAAATAATTGACCTTAAAATTTTGACTTTTATTCTCATATAACAATTCAAAAATTAAAAATTAATGGCCTCTCATCAATAATAACCAGTTAGAAAATATAAATATGGCCCAGCATGGTGGCTCACGCCTGTAATCTCAGCAGTTTGGAAGGCCAAGGCAGGCAGATTGCTTGAGGCCAGGAGTTCAAGACCATCCTGGCCAATATGGCAAAACTCCATCTCTACAAAAAATACAAAAATTAGCCGGGTGTAGTGGTGCATGCCTGTAGTCCCACCTACCTGGGAGACTGAGGTGGGAGGATCACCTGAGCCTGGAAGGCAGAGATTGCAGTGAGCCAAAATAGCACCACTACACTCCCGACTGGGCGACAGAGCAAGGCACTGTCACACACACTCACGAAAGAAAACATAAAGATAGTACAGGTGGAATAAATGATCACATCACAATAGCAAACAAAAGTATAAGGTACCTAAAATAAACGTAGCAAGAACCATGCAAAAGTTTTGTGGAAATAAATCTTAAAGGATGTGAAAAAAATCTGAATAAATGGAGAGATATACCACATCCACAGATGGGATATGGCAAAGGTATCATTATTACATTCAAATTAAAAATAAAAGCTTGTCTAAAAAAACAAAGTGAAAAGACAAGTCACAGACCGTGAAAAGACCATTGCACTCTAGCTAACTGAAGAAGGGTTAGGAACCAGGATATATAAAGAAACCCCCAAAATGCAGAAAAAAAACTCCACAGATTAGAAAAATGAACAAAGGACAGGTAAGGAAATCCAGATGGCTCGCAGACACATGAAAAAATGTTCAACTCACAACACTCAGGGAAATATGATTAATTTAACTAATATGTTTAAAAATTAGTTTTATTGTTTTTTAAATTTTTTTAATAGTGGTAAATAGTTTTCATATTTAGTATCTTTTTTTATATACTTTGAGGTCTGGGATACATGTGCAGAACGTGCAGGGTTTTTTTTCCTTTTTTTCTTTTTCTTTTTTTTTTTTTTTTTTGAGATGGAGTCTCGCTCTGTCACCAGGCTGGAGTGCAGTGGCATGATCATGGCTCATTGCAATCTCTGCCTCCTGGGTTCAAGCGATTCTCCTGCCTCAGCCTCCCGAGTAGCTGGGACTACAGGCACATGCTACCATGCCCAGCTAATTTTTGTATTTTTAGTAGAGACAGGGTTTCACCATGTTGGCCAGGATAGTCTCAATCTCTTGACCTCGTGATCTGCTGGCCTCAGCCTCCCAAAGTGCTGGAATTACAGGCGTCAGCCACCTTGCCTGGCCCGTGCAGGTTTGTTACACAGGTATACACGTGCCATGGTGGTTTGCTGCACCCATCAACCCGTCATCTACATTAGCCATTTCTCCTAACACCATTGCTCCCCTAGCCCCCCACCCCCTGACAGGCCCCAGTGTGTGATGTTCCCCTCCCTGTGTCTGTGTGTTCTCATTGTTCAACTCCCACTTATGAGTGGGAACATGCGGTGTTTGGTTTTCTGTTCCTGTGTTGTTTGCTGAGAATAATGGTTTCCAGCTTCATCCATAACCCTGCAAAGGACATGAACTCATTCTTTTTTTATGGCTGCACAGTATTCCATGTTGTATATGTGCCACAGTTTCTTTATCCAGTCTATCATTGATGGGCATTTAGGTTGGTTCCAAGTCTTTGCTATTGTGAATAGTGCTGCAATAAAGATAGGTGTGCATGTGTCTTTATGGTAGAATGATTTATAATCCTTTGGGTATATACCAAGTAATAGGATTGCTGGGTCTAATGGTATTTCTGGTTCTAGATCCCTGAGGAATTGCCACACTGTCTTCCACAATGGTTGAACTAGTTTACACTCCCACCAACAGTGTAAAAGCATTCCTATTTCTCCATATCCTCTCCAGCATCTGTTGTTTCCTGACTTTTTAATGATTGCCATCTAACTGGCATGAGATGGTGTCTCTTTTTGGTTTTGATTTGCATTTCTCTAACGACCAGTGATGATGAGCTTTTTTTCATGTTTGTTGGCTGCATAAATGTCTTCTTTTGAGAAGTGTCTGTTCATATCCTTCACCCACTTGTTAATGGGGTTGTTTTTTTCTTGTAAATTTGTTTAAGTTCTTTGTAGATTCTGCATATTACCCCTTTGTCAGATAGATTGCAAAATTTTCTCCCATTCTGTAGATTGCCTGTTCACTCTGATGATAGTTTCTTTTGCTGTGCAGAAGCTCTTTAGTTTAATTAGATCTTATTTGTCAATTTTGGCTTTTGTTGCCATTGCTTTTGGTGTTTTAGTCATGAAGTCTTTGCCCATGCCTATGTCCTGAATGGTATTGCCTAGGTTTTCTTCTAGGGTTTTTATGGTTTTAGGTCTTACATTTAAGTCTTTAATCCATCTTGAATTAATTTTTGTATAAGGTGTAAGGAAGGGGTCCAGTTTCAGTTTTCTGCATATATGGCTAGCCAGTTTTCCCAGCACCATTTATTAAATAGGGAATCCTTTCCCCATTGCTTGTTTTTGTCAGGTTTGTCAAAGATCAGATGGTTGTAGATGTGTGGCATTATTCCTGAGGCCTCTGTTCTGATCCATTGGTCTATATGTCTGTTTTGGTACTAGTACCATGCTGTTTTAGTTACTGTAGCCTTGTAGTATAGTTCAAAGTCAGGGAGTGTGATGCCTCCAGCTTTGTTCTTTTTGCTTAGGATTTTCATGGCTATACGGGCTCTTTTTTGGTTCCATATGAAATTTAAAGTAGTTGTTTCTAATTCTGTGAAGAAAGTCAATGGTAGTTTGATGGGGATAACATTGAATCTATAAATTATTTTGGTTAGTATGGCCATTTTCACGATATTGATCTTCCTATCCATGAGCATGGGATGTTTTTCCATTTGTTTGTGTCCTCTCTTATTTCCTTGAGCAGTGGTTTATAGTTCTCCTTGAAGAGGTCCTTCACATCCCTTGTAAGTTGTATTCCTACATATTTTATTCTCTTCGTAGTAACTGTGAATGGGACTTCACTCATGATTTGGTTCTCTGTTTGTCTATTGCTGGTGTATAGGAATGCTTGTGATTTTTGCACATTTATTTTGTATCCTGAGACTTTGCTGAAGTTGCTTAAGGAGATTTTGGGCTGAAATGATGGGGTTTTCTAAATATAGAATCGTGTCATCTGCAAACAGAGACAATTTGACTTCCTGTCTTCCTATTTGAAAGGGTATTAAAAATTAAAGGGTCCCATTTCATATTCATCGGGCAAAACAACTAAGAAAATAAAATAATACCAAGTGTTAGCAAGAATATGAAGAAAGGGAAACTCTCCTCTACTCCTGGTGAGAGTGAACATAGCTAAACACTACCTAGAGAAGTGGTTTGGTGATAGCTAGAAAAGTTGAAGATATGCATATCTTATAGTTAGGTCATTTTACCCCAGATACATGCTCTAGAAACTGTGCCACCTGTCTGTAAAGGAAAGCAGTACCAAATTGGCATCCTGAACATCCGTCAGTAGGGGAATGGACAAATAAATTGTAGTATGTTTATATTACACGATAAAGCAGTTAAAAATAAATGAACTGGAGTTCCATGAAATAACTTGTATAAATCTCAAAAACATCCTATTGAGTGAAATAAGAAAGTTGAAGAAGAATCCATACAGTTGGACAGCATTCATAAAATGGCTTAAAGTCTGAAAGCACTATCATATATATATGTAGAAAGTATATGTATGTATATGTAGAAATATTAAAACTTTCATGACTAACATCATATTCACATTACTGGTTACTCTAGGGAGGGAAGAAAGAGGAATTATATTAATAAGCAAGGAATAGATGGGGCTGAAGATTTGGTAAAGCTAGATGGTAGATACATCATTGTAGGTTCTATTTTCTCTATCTCTTTAAAACAGTTCAAAATAAAATAATTGAACTTTTCATGCACTCACTGGATTTCTGTTAAAGGGTAAGGAAGATGATATCTACCTCATGGTGATCTGGGAGCTGCCTGATGTTGTGCCTTTCCTACAAGATGGGAAACATGCTGTGCATCTGAGAATGTCTACTAGAGACAGGAACATGGCTATTCCTTTCCCAGATGTCGAGTTGATAGTTGAGAGGAACTTTTCTCAACCTACTGATGTAAGTTTCCTCTCTTGGTTTCTTTTTAACTTTTGCTTTTTGTTATGGAAATTTACAAACATATATAAAGGTACAGAAAATAATACAAAGAGCTTCTATGTGTTATCACTCAGCTTCGAGAACTTTCTGTATATGACCAAACTTACTCCTTATTTCCACCTCTTCACCACGACCACCACCAATGGATTTGTTTTTTTTTTTTTTTTTTTTTTGAGACAGGGTTCTGCTCTGTTGCCCATGCTACCAACACCTGGGCTCAAGTGACCCTCCTGCCTCAGCCCCCCAGAACGCTGGAATTACAGGCATAAGACACCGTGCCTGGCCCACCAATGGATTTTGAAGCAAATCTCAAACATTGTGTCATTTCATCCCTTTATATTTCAGTATATATCTCTAAACAATAATGACTATTTCAAAAATAATACCATTATTTTCTAAAATATATTAAAAATAATTTGTAAGAAGTTGTTAATCTCATCACATATTCATTCAGTGTTCAAATTTTCCAGATATCCTTATAATTTCTTTCTTATGGTTGGTTTCAACAACCAAGATCCAAACAAGGTTTATTTGTTGCATTTGGTTGGAAAAACCTGTTAAATATCTTTTTTTTCTCTCCTTGCAATTTATGTCCTGAAGAAACTGGACAGTTGACGCCATAGTTTTCCACTTTCTGGATTTTGCTGATTGCACCCTCATGGTGTTATTTAAGAAGTTCCGCTGTACTTCCTGCAATCTGGTAGTTAAATCTGGTGGCTTAATTGACTACAACATTGATTTTTTTTTTTCTTTAGCAAGACACCTTCATAGGTGCTGTCCTGTATTCCATCAAGATTCTCATAATGACCAGTTGTCTTTTTTTTTTTTGTATCTCAGCAGCCATTGATGATCACTACCTAGGCCTATTATTTTCATTCAAAGTCACCATACTGCCTTTCTGCTTCATTTATTACTGGAACGTGTGTAAAGAAAACCTCTCCTTTACCAAATATTTGGTTACACTGAGGTACAGTTTATATAGAAAAGCAAACTAATTGATGATTTGCTCCTTATATTTATCAATTTTAAAGTGAAGAATAGGTTTCCTAGCATCTTCCAAAGGTGGTCTGTGAATTTTGTTTACTTAATATCATTATTGACTCACAAATTTAAATGCTCTTGATGTGTTTCAGTCAATTTAATTTGCTACTATTATTATTGATGCCCAAACTGTCCCATCTGAAACTGGTTGGAGCCTCTTCAGGCTCCTGAGTTCCTCTGATGTGACCTCAGACATTCTGGATAGCTTCCAGGTATGACAAGATGATCCAGGCTCATCTTGTACATTTCTTTCCAGATCTAAAATCCACTGTTTCTCCAATATATTCTACTTCTTTTTAGTGGGAAATAGTATTTTAAAAAACCACTACCAGTAGGTTGGTTCTTATTTTTAGACTTTTTCAATAGACAGCTAAGAAAAAACATTAAGAGAAAATGCACTACTATTTTGCACTGATATTCCCAATTCAAATGTAAGGTTATATGGCTTTTACTAATTTTATTTTATTTTATATCTTTCTCTCGGAAAATTTTGATTTCTAATGATACAAGCATCATTACTTATTTGCTTTATGCTATTATTTATATAATGTATTCTTCTATATAATATACAGGTTATGTCATTTTATGTGCTATCATTGTACATTACATTATATTCTAGTTTCAGAAAACAATAAAATTACTAGGAACATGATACCTGACACAGCTCAAAATCTTCCTTTTTTTGCAGTTCTTTTTGTCCTTAGGGTATATAGCATGTGGAATGTACTGTCAAATTACTGTGCTTTAAAATTGCTTAAAATAATTCCTTGTACCACCAACTCTATATACAGTTAAGTTTGCTTCATTTTTAAAATGTATTGTGTTCTTAAAATTCAGTTTTGTTTTATTGTTGTGTAAAACATTTATATATTTCTAAGATCAAATTACAAAACAAGTTCTATTCTGAGCTACAGAACAAAGTCTATTGTATTCCTGTCCTTTCCACCTTGTTCCCTTCTTAACCTATAGTTCTTTTTGTTTTTAAGTTTTTGGTTTATGTTTCCATGCTCTTTTTAAAAAATATAATCAAATACTTGGCTCCCTCTCTACCTTCTTAAGCAAATGATAGAATATTATTTACATCCTTGTATTCCTTGCTTTATTTAATAATCTATTCTGGAGACCATTATAAGCAGTATATAGAGATCTTCACCTTTCTTTTTTTTTAAATTGTGGTAACATACACGTAAAGTAATATTTACCACTTAGACTATTTTTAGGTGCACAGTTAGGGACATTAAGTATATTCACATTGTTGCACAACCTTCATCACCATCCATCTCCAGATGCTTTCATCTTGCAAAACTGAATCTCTATTTATTAAACAATAACTCCCTATTTCCCCTTCTCTCCAGCTCCTGGCAACCAGCATTCTAATTTCCATCTCTACGAACTTACACTGAGGATCTCATATAAGCAGAAACATATGGTATTTCTCTTTTGTGACTGGTTTGTTTCACTTAGCGTGATGTCCTGAAGATTCATCTATGTGTAGCGTATGTCACAGCGTCCTTCCTTTTAAAGGCTGAACATTATTCCATTGTTTGCATAGAACACATGTTGTTTACCCATTCATCCATCAATGGATACTTGGGTTGCTTTCACTTTTTTGCTATTAATAGAATGCTGCCATGAACATGGGTGTACATGTATTTCATTTTTCTTTTTGAAAATGCTATAGTATTTCATGTGAATAGATGTACCATTGTTTATTCAACTAGTCCCCTGTAGGTGGCCATTTGGGTTGTTTTTAATCTTTTCCAATTAAAAGTAGTGCTGCAACAAATAGCCATATATATATATATATTTATATTTATATGAAAAAGACTTACGATTATTCCAAGAAGTAGTTCCTGATAACCGGAAGCCTCATCTACACCCAGCTTCCCAGAACTTAGCATTGCCATGGCAAAGAAGGCCATACACAAAATGAAAACACTAATAAGAAGCTGGAAAAAATATGTGGAACTTATATCACAAAAGGACTAATATCCATAATATATCTTCCTAATATCTAATATACAGCAAACTTTTAAAACATTAGAAGGAAAAGAACAACTTAGATAGAAAATTGACAAAAGATATGAAGAAATAGTCCAAGCATGTATTAGCAAGATGCTCCACTCACTCATTATAAGATAAATGCAAATTAAAGTATATACATATACTTTACAAAATATATATATACTTTATTTTATATATATATATAGTGGGTTTCCATTTTTTTTTTTTTTTTTTTTTTTTGAGACGGAGTCTCACTCTTTCGCCCAAGCTGGACTGCAGTGGCGCTATCCCGGCTCACTGCAAGCTCCGCCTCTTGGGTTCATGCCATTCTCCTGCCTCAGCCTCCCGAGTAGCTGGGATTACAGGCGCCCACCACCACGCCCGGCTAGTTTCCATTTTTGACAGTGTGTCTTTGGGATAGATTCCAAGAAGAGGGATTGGTTGCTGGGTCAAAAAGTAAATGCTAATACAATCATCCTAGACATTATCAAACTCCCCTTCACAGAAGTTACACAGCTCTGCACTGCCACTAATATGTGAGACTGCCTATTTCCCCACAGCCTTGCCAGCAGTGTATATTATAGTCAAAACTTTTGAACTTTTTCAAATGTAGATGAGAAATCAAAACAAGTGCCTTTATACTTGAACAAGTGAGAGCAAAATGAGAAGACTTTTAAAAAGATAAAAACCTATGAAAAGAGAAAGTTGGAATTTTATTAACTGACATTGAAAAATCTAGTTAAAATTACATGATGTAAAAATAGTGAAATAATAATTGGCCAGAAAAAAATGAACAACCATTCTATGACCTTTAATATAGCCCCAAACTTACCCTTCTTGTTAAAATATAATTTGGTATACTTTAATTTGCATTTATCTTATAATGAGTGAGTGGAGCATCTTTTTAATACACATATGGACTATTTGTTCATATTTTTTGTCAATTTTTCTATCTATGTTGTTGTTCTTTTCCTTCTAATGTTTTAAAAGTTTGTTGTATATTAGATACATTAGAAATATATATATATGTATATATAGATAATTAGGAAGATATATTATGGATATTAGTCCTTTTTGAAAAATTTCTCGGTAGCATGTGATGCTGATAGCATTTTACCCACAGTAAAATTTCTTTCAAAAATTGGTGTTAATTCTCTTAAACCCTGCCTCTGCCCAATCATCTAAGTTTAGGTAATATCCTAAGTCCTTTGTTGTCATTTCAGCAATGTTCACAGCAGATTCCATCTCAAGAAACAACTTTCTTTGCTCATCCATGAGAAGCAACTCCTCATCCATTCAAGTTTTATCGTGAGATTGCAGCAAGTTACGCTTCGCTTCTAATTCTAGTTCTCTTGCTATTTCTACATCTTCAGTCACTTTCTCCACTGAAGTCTTGAACCCTTCCAAATATCTTTGAGGGTTAGAATCCTCTTCTTCCAAATTCCTGTCCATGTTGCTATTTTGACCTCCTCCCATGAATCACAAATGTCTTAATGGCATCTAGAATAGTGAATTCTTTCTGGAAAGTTTTCAATTTACTTTGAGCAACCAGATTTATCATAGGAACCACTATCTATGGCAGCTATAGCCTTACAAAATGTATTTCTTAAATAATAAGACTTGAAGGTCAAAATTTCCCCTTGATCCACGGGCTGCAGAAGGAATACTGTATTCACCGGCATGAAAACAACATTCACGTTGTACATCTCCATCAGAGCTCCTGGGTGCATTTTCAATGAGCAGTAATATTTTGAAAGGAATCTTTTTTTTTTCTGAGTAAAGTAGCTGTATATGTTGAATTCAACAACTTAATTTAACATCTCTTCAGAAAGCTATTTTTGTGATATGCTTACACCTCCTCAACAAGGCAGGCGCATGTGTGCATGTCTGAGGGATGAAGTGTTTGGGGCATATGTTTGAGGCTGAAGAATAGAGAATAAGAAAACTGTACCTTTTTGTTCCCATAAAAATTTAAACCAATTGTTTTTTTAACGAGGATCTTCACTAACTTTTTTGATTTACTCTAATATTATAGTACTCTAATCAAACCTTTTGCACTTTTCAGCTTTTAGAGAGATAAGTGGTCAGACACTAAAGAATGGAAGAAAACTGCAAGTTACAGCAGGAGCAATTGAGAAAAGTCTTCAGTTTTTTTCTCCCTGACATTAGCAAAACAACCATAATATAATTTATTTCCTTTTTTATTATTATTAACCATAAAGCTTCCTTGCAAAAAAAAAAAAATAGAATAATAATATAGCTGGTTTATGGAATTTGGAAACAATTATTTTGTCATAGAACGGAAACATACTGTATTAGTTTTCCTCATATTGAAACAAATGTCAGTTTGGAACTGCAATTTGAATGTCATTCATTGCTAGTTTAAATGATAAGTAGGTTTTATTCTTAGCTAAAAGCCCTTTAAAATCAATATACACAGTGACTATGTCATAATAACGTTATCATGTAATATGCACAAAAGACAGAACAAAATGCATGTCCTCGTAGACCAATTCTAGCCTACTTCCCTTTTCAACTCTACATATAATTGGAAACACTAGGTTCAATTATATGTATTTGATATATGAAATCTTATTTATAGCTAATAAAAACAGAAAGAAGATGACTGCACAGTGAGTCAGAACCAGGCAGTTAACAAATAATTGTGTAGGTACCAAAAAATGATTGCTTAAAAAAAAAAGAAAAACTATGGTGATAAATTATAAACTATTGAAACACAATAAAGTGCCTTGTAGGCTTTTAATGTAAATGTAAATTATCTCCAATTTTGAATCTTTATTTTTTGTAGTTATCATAATTATCATTATAGCACTTCCTTTTTGCAACAGACTTTAAAATTATAGATTGAAAGTTTGCAAAAGTCGGCCAGGCACAGTGGCTCACACCTGTAATCCCGGCACTTTGGGAGGCCAAGGCGGGCAGATAACTTGAGGTCAGGAGTTCCAGACCAGCCTGGCCAGCGAAACCTCATCCTTAATAAAAATACAAAAGTTAGCCAGGTATGGTGGCGTACGCCTGTAATCCTAGCTACGGGGGAGGCTGAGGCATGAGAATCACTTGAACCTGGAAGGTGGAGGATGCAGTGAGCTGAGATCATGCCATTGCACTCCAGCCTTGGCAACAGAGCAAGACTCAGTCTCAAAGAAAAGTTTGCAAAAGTCAATTAGGAAAAAAATTTGATTGTGCATGGAAATCCTCTCCCTAAAACTCTTTTATTTAGAAGCACTTTTTATTGAATACCTGCCACCGTATCATGCACTGTTCTTAGCACTGGGAATGTCAAGATTAATGAGGTATAGTACCTGCACTGTAGAAGTACAGCAGAGATCCTGGAGGGCTGGGGAGACGGGGAGGTTTTTGAAGAGGATAATTGCTGAATTATAGCTAAAGAACTATCAGGAGTTAGCTTGGCTCAGATAGGCAGTTTCTAGAGGATAGTGAAAAGACAGTGAATCTCAAGTGGAAGAGGTAATGTGAACGAAATAATGGAGGTAAAATATTGCATGGTTTGTGAAGGATAACTACAAGTATCTCAGTGTGGCTGGAGTAATACTGGGAGTAGTTAAAAATGAAGACAAACAAATAGGTAGGGACCAGACCATGCTTACAAGAATAAGGAGCTTGAGCATCCTATAACAAATGGAAGGCCATGGAAGGGCTTTAAATGAGAAATGACACGATCAGATTTGTGCTGTGGGCAGCTCATCTTTGATGCTGCCTGGATGACAGATTTGACAGGGACAGGACTAAAGGCAGAAGATTCAGGCAACAGGCTACTTCCTGTTTTAGTTAAAAGATATAAGGATGACCAGGCTCAGTGGCTCACACCTGTAATCTCAGCATTTTGGGAGGCCAAGGTGAGAGGATCACTTGAGGCCAGGAGTTCGAGGCCAGCCTGGGCAACATAGGCCCCATCTCTACAAAAAAATTTTTAAAAATTTAAAAAAATTATTTGGGTGCAGCGGCGTGCACCTTCAGTCAAGCTATTTGGGAGGCTGTGGTGGGAGGAGTGCTTGAGCCCAGGAGTTCGAGGTTGTAGTGAGCTATGATTGCACCACTGCAGACCAGCTTGAGTGACAGATCAAGATTCTGTCTCTAAAGAAATTTACAATGATAAAATAATAAAAGATATAAGGTCATGACAATGGAGATGGTGCAGAAGAAAATGTTCTGGTTTCAGAAAATATCTAGGCAGTAAAAGTAGCATAACTTGCAATTACACCATGCAGTTGGGAGAGGAGGGCACTGAAAGAAAGGAAGGAAAGAAGGACAGTTCCAGGATTTCTAACTTGAATGATGAACTGAAAAATAGCGCTAACCAATGAAATAAAGAATAGAGGACTGGGCACTATGGCTCATGCCTATAATCCCAGAACTTTGGGAGGCTGAAGTAGGTGGATTACTTGAGCTCAGGAATTTGAGACCAGCCTGGCAACATAGTGAGACCTTGTCTCTACAAAAAAAATCAAAACATTAGCCAGGCATGGTAGCACCCACCTGTGGTCCCAGCTACTCCAGAGCCCAAGGTGGGAGGATCGCTTGAGCCCAGGAAGTCGAGGCTGCAGTAAGCTGTGATCATTCCACTGTACTCCAGTCTGGGCAACAGAGGGAGATCTGTCTCTGAAAAAAAAAAAAGAATAGAGCAAAGAAACATGCCTAAAGGAGGTGATAAGTTACATATATTAACATTGAGATACCTGTAAAATGTCTAAGTAATTAAATATATAAGCCTGAAGCTTGTAGGAGAGGACTGGACTAGATAATTAGGTCACTAGCATTGAGATATTTGAAACATAATCTGAGATTCCTCAGAAACAGTTGAAAAAAAATGTATTTGAGATAAACCCCAAAAATATTAATATTTAAAAGACTGGCAGAGCAAGAGGGTACCAAGTAGGAAACAGAAAAAGAAAAGTCGCAGAGACACAGCAAAACCAGCAAAGCCTGGAGTCAAGGACGTCAGGAGAGTAAGGAGTTTCAGGAAGGGGAGAGCAACTGAGAGTGGTAATTGACAGTGGTAATAGACCTCTCCTCTTATTTAAATGTCACTCTTCTATGATCCTGTCAAGTTACATGCGTGCCTCCCTCCGATACAGCACTTTCACATTGCACTGTAATCAACACTTTGAGTACTTTAAAGTATTATGTTTCTCCAGATCACAGATGTCCTACTTGACTTTGTATTCCAAATATCTAACATAGTAGATATCTAACAAATATTTGAGGCAAGACAATTGAAAAAGATCTTAATGATAAATAGCTATCACAGGGTGTTATGAAGCAGAAGCCAATGAAATTTGCTGAGTGAAAGAAAAGTTGGTAAGTGGAAACGACGAACGTAGAATATTCTTTCAACAAGTTTGAAGGGAAGAGGAAGACGGGAAGAAAGTTGGGAAGAAAGAATAAATAAGGCTGAGAAAAAGCAGCCAGTAAACAGGAAGAGTATATATTTGTTGATCTAATGAATTCTGCCAGTTAAAAATTTTAGTGCAAGAAAAATAAGATTTTACTAAATTTCATGCTCTGATATTAAAAATATATATAATAAGGCATTTTGTTTTAAGTTGATGACAATTACAAAGTGTACACATGGCGTTTGCACCGCGAATCATGAATACTATATTTATGGTGTTCTGTTTCCTTCGTTCTTCAGAATCCCACCATGGATTTATTACGAGTGAACTGCATTGATTTACTACAAGTAGAAGGATATAATTTGATAGCAGCTGGAACCTTAAATGGTGTGATCATCTTATGGAATTTTGTGACGTCTACTGTCAAAAAAGTGTAAGTTGTGTATTATCCTTAAACAATGTAAAAGCTTTACTGCAGAAGGGCTCAGTAGCATGCAACACTCAGGGAAGGGCTGGGCGCGGTGGCTCAGGTCTGTAAACCCAGAACTTTGGGAGGAGGATCACTTAAGGCCAGGAGTTCGAGATCAGCCTTACCAACATGGTGAAACCCTGTCTCTACTAAAAATACAAAAAGTAGCAGGGCGCAGTGGCGCCTGCCTGTAATCCTATCTAATGGAGAGGGTGAGGCATGAGAATTGCTTGAACCTGGGAGGTGGAGGTAGCAGTGAGCTGAGATCACACCACCGCACTACATCCTGGGTGACAGAGTGAGTGAAACTCAGTATAAAAAAAAAAAAAAAAACCTCAGGGGACAAAAAAGCAATACATAAAAATGGTGATAACTTTCAAGGCAGGCGTTCCTGGAAGTTATATTCATGAATGGACTGTGTTCTAAGTGTCTAAATCCCAGGATGATATAAGTAAGGTGAACTGTAAGCATCTATATTCCCAAGAGCTTTGATCTTTACTATTCTCAACTAGTATATGCTTTTCATGTGTGATCTTGCCCAAATTTATGACCTCAACAAATAATTAAAATACATAACAACTTCAAACTAATCTCTCTAGAGCTTCAAACACACATAACCAATTGCCTATTGGCAATTTTCATCTGATTGTTACCAAGACCCTCAAAGCCCTACATGCCTGAAACATCTTCCCAACCTACTCCCCGCTCCCAAACTTCTCCCCTTCCTGTATCCCCAGTGCCACCACCATCTACTCAGCCACCAAAGTCACATGGTGAGAAGACTCCTGGGTAGCATATCCTTCTCATTCACCACCTCAACACGTCTGATTTATTACAGATTGGGGCTAACAAGGGCCAATGTTGTAGATGCAATTATTCCTCTCAACCAATTAGATTTACCCTGGACTATGGCCAAGATCTTACCCTCCCCATACCATCCACTTCTCAATGTTTTTTTTTTTTTGCATTTGTTGAGAAGGAACTAAAGTAACACTGAATGATTTGTTTGGATGGATTGTAAGTAATAAGTTCTCCCCAGCTGTGTAATTGGAACGTGTGCAAGGGCCATGTGTGGCCACCCTATGGCAAGGGGGTTTGGAAAATTTTACTTACAGATACAAGATGGCCAAGAACCTTAATAATAAATGAAAATAAAATCAAGTTTATCTAAGCATTTGGGGGACGGGAAGAGATATAAAAGAGGAGAGAAGGGAGAATTGGAAAGGACAGGAGAAAAGGAGAGGAAAATACAAAAGAAATGTCTGCCTCTCTCTTTACACTTCTTAACATACTGCTGGTCTGCCTGCTCCTTCCCATCCAAGCCTGAGTCATTTCTTTTAGCCAGTTTTTGAAAGGAAATAATCATTTATTGCTTGGACTATGGATTTCTTCTCTTTGAACCTTTAATTGAAATAGCTGTTTCTGCAGACCCCCCTTTCTGCACCTCAGTCCACATACTCCTGGATCCTGCCCCTGGAATTCCTGTCATCCTTCTGTTCCTTCACTTCAGCCCATGCCCCCAGCCTTTTCTCACACATTGTCTACCTGCCACTTGATACCTACACCTGTCTGCACTGCAAACTTCCCCTCCTTCTTGCTAATGCTTTCACGCTGTGTCAGCTTGTGTATGACTCTTTCCTAAGAAGGGAAATCAGATAGACTAAGAAGACCATTATCTTGATGCCACAGCCTAAAGAGGGGGGCAACACCCGTGATAATAATCCCACTTTAAAGGTGAAGATCCTCCTTGTTAAAGTGCCTTGTTATTTTGCCAAGGGATGCATGCATATCCAACATCCAATCAGAGGAAAACAACCAAGTATAGTGTGGGTCATACACAGTGTCCCTTTCCTATAGGCAGATGATTATATAAGACAATTGATTTATAATCAGTGCAGTATTTTGCAAAACATATGATTTAGCACAGATCTGTGGAAGGTCATTTAGGCCCAGGTTTAAAAGTTCTGAAACTGAAAATGGTTTCCATATTTGCAGTAGAGTCCATCTCTTTGTCTACCACAAACTTCACCTAAGACCCCTTCACCAGTCAGAGGAAATAACTCTTCTCTTCCCACTCTAAGCCTCAGGCTTTTTGAGCCCAGACTTAATATTATTCTTGCTAATTAATAATCCACTTCATGATTCAGCTCATCTGCACAACAGAAATCTCTTAAAAAATTTGAGTTCAACAAGTCATCAAGCTTGTAGACTTCTCTTTTGAGCTTGGGTTCACTTTCCAGGAGGCCCCTTCATCTCTTGCAGAAGTAATTTCCACTGAAGAAACAGGGGAAATTTTGCTGTAAGGTCTATTTGCTATAATGAATGTTAAATGCAGCTTTAAGAGCCAGGCATGATGTTTCAGTGCAGGCATTTAGGGACTATTCCCCTGTTCCTAGGATGGTGCCTACAAAGTTCAGTGTTGACCTTGGAATCTGGGTCAACAGGAGACTGGAGCAGCAAGAGCAGGGTCCTCACTGGACTACCTGTTCTTCTCCACTCCATTATAAGCTCTTTAAGGGTAATAATATTTTATTCAAATTTATTACTCCACTTATTTAAAAAATATTAGAACTCTATTATTTAAACTGTATGAAACCAGCCCGGCGTGGTGGCTCCCATCAGTAATCCCAGCACTTTGGGAGGCTGAGGCAGGAGGATCGCTTGAGCCCAGGAGTTCAAGACCAGTCTGGGCAACATAGTTGGCCCCCATCTCTAAAAGTAAAATAAAATAGAGTTTTTTCCATAGGATTTTGTAGAAGTCCATTCTCTGATCTAAAGGTAGGAAGATTAGACAGGTTAGTTGAATTAAAAGACTTTTAAACCGTTGAGGATCATGATTTAACAGAACCTTGCTAAAAAAGCTATGTTCAAACTCTACTTCCTTGCATTTTCTTTTCATGTTCAATAATATTAGCATTTGAGGAATTGCCTAGCTCTGCAGAGGATATACAATCTTAGTACTGTAAGCTCCATAATTTGTGAATTTTTTCTCATATAAATGTATACTTACTTCTAGGTACCGACCTGAAGATTGCTTCACTGTAAACCCTGACTTGCATCCCAAGCACTTTAAAATTAATGACATACTGTTCCTCTTTCGTACCCCTGAATGTGCAAGGTAACTCGTTACTTACTGAACCAGTAATACTGTCTGGGACTTAGGTGGCTGATACATTAGGTTGATGCAAAATTAATTGTGGTTTTTGCCATTGAAAGTAATAGAAAGAGTTTACTTCATCCCAGCATTAAAGAAGGGACCACTGAAAAAAGACATCAGTTGGGTTGACACGTGGCTTCCGCTTTCTTCCCATAACTGTCATTTTGGAGGTGAGGTTCTCCTCAGGGATTTAAAGTGCTGTGTGGTCCCCTCACCATGTCAGCCTCACAGCACCCTTTATCACATAGCAGAGATGGAAAATGATCACTTGGCTTTACTTTTCGCCAAAATCTGACACAGGTGTGAAACAGAAGGAAGGACTTGCAAGGCAAGTATGGAAGGTCATATGGCAGGAGGTTTCATCCACCATCCACTATAACTGAGCAATTGTCATCCATTTCTGAAAGAGCAAGGGATTTAAGAAAAAATCCCTTTTTTCCTATTTATATTTGCATAAGAGCTCTGGTTTGCAGGCAATAGATAATGCCACACATAGCTTTGGAGAGAAATCAGAAGCTTCTGTGCTGGTTTGGGGTCACCCAGAGGTGAGCCAGAATGTAACCCCTTCCCTACCCCTTGGCATGAAATTTCATCAAAACTGTTCTGAGAATATTTTGAGGACTTATTCTGTAGACATCTGCACCAGACCTTAAGCCACTTTTCAGCCGGTTTCAGTGGAGTGCCACAGACTAGGATCTGGTGAGAACTAGACATTGTCAAGCAGGAAGTTAGACAGGCTTGTAAGGTCCCCCCACCACCACCCCACCCCTTGCCATTTCAGTGTAAGAGCCTCTGGGACTAAATCTAGCCTTTGCAGTGGGATAGGCAAGACTTTTATTTTCTGACAAAGGGAGCAATAAACCTTATTTGCTGAGGCTCCCCAAGAGTCTCCACCAATATCATACTGGTCAACATTTATTACACAGAATATAAGGCATGATTTGTTTCCTGAGTGGCTCAGTATCCACAGATGATGAAAGAAGCAATCAGCTGAAATTAAAGCAGAGAAGCACACCCTTTGAGTATGGTAGCATATCTTAAAGTTTTACCTGTGGGCTTCCCCACTCCCCTTATAGGAGATCAAGTCAGGATTCCATATGTTCTTCATCCCAGTGTGAATCCAGCAAAGGTCCACAGAGCAGTAAGGTAAGCAAGACACAGACAGGGTCTGTCTTCCTGTCATACTCAATGTTGGTTCAAAAATAGTGCTATTGAGCACATTTGAGCCCCTCCTTTGATAGAAGGTAACAGTGGAAGAATTCTGTGTGTGCATGCTTATATGTAAAAACGCATTGTTTTGCAAAAAATGCAATGTCTAAATTGTTTTTTCAATTTTATATATTTTTCAATTTTTATATATTTTTTCAAAGTTTTTGCATTTGTGAATAATCAATATACAATCACAAATAAAATAAATTATGCATGTTATTTTGATACTTAAAAAGTAAGTAATTTTAGACCATCTCTTTTGCTAAAATGTAAGTACTCTTTTGCTAAAAAGTACATATGTCACAGGGAGAAGAGACAGCAGGTACTGTAATGCAGTGGTTTTCAAACTGTTCTCAGTTCCAATTTTATATATTTTTATGCTTTACATTTCTAGTTAGAACTGTGTTTGAAGGAAAGTTGTCACTGCAAAAATTGTTTTTAAATCACCAGCATACTGGAAAGAATAAACTTACATGGAAGCAAAAGCCAGACAGATTGTACTTGAACCCAAGTCCTTCTTTTATTATCTGATTAGCTTTAGAGCTGCCACTTAATCTGAGTTTCTGTTTCTGTTTCAGTAAAAAGGGAATAATAAAGATGAAGTTGCATGGTTGTGAATACAATTAGAGATCATGTCAACCAGGAACCGAGCATGCATCAGGCATTTTTAATTACTCTCGTTATTATGCTGGTACCTCAACTGCTAGAAGAATGTTGTGTTATAAATTCTCTATTTCTGGACATGAAAATCTCTGCAATACATTTTTTTCAAAAAAAAATTAAAGTATAATTTTAAAAGTAATGCTTAGAAATGAAAATTCAACTATCTGGAGAATTTAATCACCCAGTATATCTCATTTTCTTACAATGTCATGGAAGTCTTTTCTCTTTTCCTCCCATAATTCAGGGAAGCAAGCAAAGCATACATGACAGTGAGGTTAAAGGTCAGTATGAAATCACCTCTCTTCTTTATAATAAAGCAACTCCTTTGCAAGAGGGCATTTAGGTGACAGAGTATTCTTAATGAATATATATATTCCTTAATATATAAATTCATTATATATATTCATATACATTCATATATATTCATTATATACGTATATATAATATACACACACATACCCACACACATATACATATATACATACATACACACATATACATATATACATACATATACATACATACATACATATATATATATATATATATATATATATATATATATATATATATTCTTTTTGGAACCAAACATTGAGGTGCTATGGGATTCAGTAGTCTAAATGGCAGAATTTTCATTATGATGATGCCTTCTTAAATACTAATTCTAGGTTTTAAGAATCCAGAATATTACTGAACTTCTTAGTCTCTAGCCATTTTTCTAAAACTTATACTGCATTTATACACCATTCTGTATGTATAAGATTTATGAATAAATACCTTGTGTGAGCTGTTATGTATAGTATAGAAGCTTTTGCAATATGATCAAAATAAACGTTTTATATTTTTTCAGTGATCCAGGATTCAATTTTTTAATGTTTTTTCTGTCCTTTGCCCTGACTGAAATTCTCTGGGTGAAAAAAAAAAAAAAGAAAAGGAAAAAATAATGTGTGGCTTTTGCTATTTTCTTGTCTGCCTTGTGTTTTACATTCCATAAAAATTTGGAATTCCAAGTATTGCAAATTCCAAGATAGATCCTTTTTTTTTTTTTTTTTTTTTTTTTTTTTGAGACAGAGTTTCACTCTGTCCCCCAGGCTGGAGTGTAGTAGTGCCATCTCAGCTCACTGCAACCTCTGCCTCCTGGGTTCAAGCAATTCTCCTGCCTCAGCCTCCCAAGTAGCTGGGATTACAGGCGCCCACCACCACACCTGGCTAATTTTTGTATTTTTAGTAGAGACGGGGTTTCACCATGTTGGCCAGGCTGATCTGGAACTCCTGACCTCAAGTGATCCACCTGCCTTGGCCTCCCAAAGTGCTGGGATTACAGGTGTGAGCCACCACGCCTGGCCTCATGATAGTTCATTAATTTCTCGAATAGGTGAACAAACAGATGTAATGGTGGGAAAGCAACAGCCAATGGACAAAAAACACCCTGGAATTGCCAATTTACCAGAAGCCCAGCCACCTATCCTTGTCACTGCTCATGAGGATGGACACCTCCGCTTGTGGACTCTGGAGGTAATGGAACCCAGCAAGTCTGGGAATAGGAAAGAATGGGAAAGATAAAAAGAATCATTAAATGAATCTTAGTGTTCTTCCATATGGCATCCAATTATAATATTTTTTCAACTTTCTAGCCAAATTGCTGATCTTGCAGCCTGTTTATTGATAACGCTATCCAAACTTTACGAGAGAAGGGTTTTGTAATTCAAAAGATCAAATCATCAAAACTGCTAACTTAGCTATTTCAAATATGTCTCTCTTTTTGGAAGCTCTTCTACTTTTCTATCAAACACATTACAGACAGATACCCATACTGGGATAGATACCTGCATACAGATAGATACCCGTATTGAGAAAAGAATGTTCAACTGGTCATGCAAGCCTCACAGTTGGAATTTCTGGGAAGGTCTTCACCTTTGGCACACTGCTTCAGTCTCATCCCTTATGTCCCTAATAGAAGCAGGAAAGGTGAATCCGGCATGAAGATTTACTAGAAAAATCTATTGAGCCTGCTTATAATTCTTTTATTTGGGGAGAGGAGGGCATTAGTTGTTTGTTTGTTTGTTTTTTTAAGATGGAGTCTCTCTCTGTCACCCAGGCTGGAGTGCAGTGGCGTGATCTCAGCTCACCGCAACCTCCACCCCTCGGTTCAAGCGATTCTTCTGCCTCGGCCTTCGAGTAGCTGAGGCTATAGGCGTGTGCCAGCACACCCAGCTAATTTTTGTATTTTTAGTAGAGACGGGGTTTCACCATGTTGGCCAGGCTGGTCTCAAACTCCTGACCTCGTGATCCGCCAGCCTCGGCCTCCCAAAGTGCTGCGATTACAGGCGTGAGCCACTGTGCCCGACCGAGGGCATTAGTTTTGATGGGTTCATACATTCAAAATATTCAAATCTTTCTTTTAAATTGAGCTACAAATATATGCCACTAAATATCTTACTGGATATTTAAATAATATTAAAGGATATTAATGGTGTATTAGAGTAAAAGAATGTGAGAACACTGAAATGTTGAGTATACAATAAATTGTTAGTTTACCAAACAGTTGAAAGAAGGTATTGCATCGTATTGAGTGTTCTTCAATATTTCACAAAGAAAAACACAACTTTCATTTACCAGAAGATTTAAAATGATTTAGGGTGGAATTAAGAGGACAGAAGATGATGAAAGGAAGGATCTTGAGTAGCCTGAGGGTGAAGAAAATGAAATCCTTAGAAAAACAGAGGAGGTGACCTCGCTTGTGATAAGGCTCCTTCCTACACAGAAACTCAGAACACAAAACAGTTTTGTGTGGCAGATAATGGGATCCAACAACACGGAACCGCATGGCTTTCTGCCAGATAAAACTCTAAGTGTACCAGTAGATCCTAGCTTATTCGTGAAAACAACCCTGGTTTGAAAATACAAAGTATTCTAATAATAACTTTCCTTGAGATAATCTTGGTATTAGAACAATGCCCTTTTTCTTTCTAATACAGAAATGAAAGAGTAAAAGAAATAGGAGGAGAAGAGATTATGTCCAAGCAGTCTAAGGAAAGGAGTAGCAAATTCAAACTCTTCACAAGCTTTGATGTTGATGATGTTTATTCTCTAAGCAAGATAATACGTGTTAAAGTCTTTCCCAGTGCTGGCTTATACTGAGCGCTGAAAAACAACCTGTTTGAATTTAAATCTCTTAACAATTCTTTGTCTTGCACCAGTATTAAAAAATAAATATTTCTGAAGAGGCAAATATTTCTGTTTAAAACAACTGACATACACTTAAAAGTGTGTCTCCCTTCTGAAAAAAATGTTTGTTTAAAAAGAAAATATGTCAATGCCTGTTTGAGTTAAATTAAAAAAAAGAAATAAAAAGAAAATATGTAATCGGAAAGAAAGTCTGAGGAATTGCATGAAAAGGGTCATGGGATATGCAAAAACAATCCCAAGTGTAGAACAGTATATAATACTCAAGAGTCTAGATGCTTCTAATTAACAGTTGTCCATACCTTTAGTATATTTAATTTCAAGGAAATAAGTCCCTATGGATAGTTTAAAATTATTTTCATTACAAACAGGGGAATCGTGGTTCAGTAGTAGAGATAATTCTTGAGATGCATTATTTACATAGAAAAATCAATTTCAATATTAAGATTTTATAAGACTTACTAGCAAAGAAAAAGTTTTATTTGCATTATACTTTATTTAGGGAAGACTACTGAAAGATATGCTACCTTTCACAAAACATTCTGCCATTTCTCTGACATCGCTGTATACTGATTCATGTACGAGGATACTACTGGCTGGAAATGTGGGTGAGTCATTACTCTTAGACATTCAGTGACAGGTGTCTTAATAGCTTACCTGATATAAAAATGGCTTTAGGAAAAATACATGGTATATGGTGAAACAAAAGAGAGACTAAGAGGTATGCTCAAGCCTGAGAAAGTGTTATAAATAGCCTGCTGAATAAACAGAATAAATGAGTGTCAGGAGAACCTGCTTCATTCCTAGCTCTTCACTTAGGGCAAGGCATTGCCCTCCTTCTGTCTTTAAAATGTGTATGTGTCTACCCATCTGTGTATCTTACTTTTTTGGAAAAAATATAGTTTTAATTTTTCACATTGAAAGTGTATGTTGCATTAATCTTAATTATTAAAGGAAATCATGCCATAAATTAGAGAAAAAAAATGAATGATTTTTTCTCAGTAGGGGACTTTATTTTTTATATTTATTATAATTAATATGGTCAGTCTTTCTAACAAAATTCTTTCTTCCATTCTTCCTTTATGCTTCTCTTCTGTCGTCTGAATTAATCCTAAATTTTCTTTGCTTTCCTTTCTCCTATACTTTGAAAGATTATGTGTGTATGTGAATGCACATGCATGTGTAAAAAGTTTTATTTTACTAGTGTTTATCTTCAAGTTTGTCAAAACAATTAGTTAGAATTAGAATAAAACAGCATATTTTCAGTTAAAACAAAAAGCTTAGCCCCCTTTCACTTTCTCTTTTCTCCATATCTACCCCTTTGCTTGTTGTTGTTTTGCTAATGCAACTGTAAGATTTGCATCTAGATTAAATCTGCTTAAATGCTTACATTTCAAATTTACTTAATTTTCATACTTAAGTTTTCATATTCTCTTTTATAAACATTTTTCTCATTTCAAAATTTGTTTTAATTTTTTTTTCTTTTTTAAATTTGAGACAGAGTCTATCCCTGTTGCCCAGGCTGGAGTGCAGTAGTGCAATCCTGGCTCACTGCAACCTCTGCCTCCTAGGTTCAAGCAATTCTTCTGCCTCAGCCTCCCGAGTAGCTGGGACTACAGGCATGCACCACCACGCCCAGCTAATTTTTGTATTTTTAGTAGAGATGGGGTTTTGCTATGTTGGCCAGGCTGGTCTTGAACTCCTGACCTCGTGTGATCTGCCCACCTCAGCTTCCCAAAGCACTGGGATTACAGGCATGAGCCACCATGCCCAGCCTCAAAATTTATTTTATAAAAAAGTTACAACAAACCATTTCGTACTGTCAATTGAGTCGTCTGGACCTTATTGATAATAATTGTCTATATTTGTATATAGCATTATAAATAAATTTACATTTATTTAAGGTTATCCCTGTTTTTCCTGGAGTTTTTTGGGTTTTGTTTGTTTTTTGCTTACCACCAATCCTTTTACATTAGGATATTCTTATACTTCTGATTTTCGCTTATCTATCAATCTGTATAATTTATATAGACACTAATTCTTTTTACAGAAAACTTGTAGAGAAAGTTAAGATCAGTCAAATTTTGTTGCTTTCTAAAAATAGCCTGCTTATTCTTGCATTAACTTTGCCTAGTATGTGGCAAGCCTTTTCTGACAAATACAGAGAACTAAAATTTGAAACTATAGAATTCCCAGCACCGACCTCTATTAGGGTTAGTCCTCTCTTTGCCTATGCCTAGAATACTTTACTATCATATAGCCCATTCTCATCCTGAAATTTGTGGTTTCTGTTTGTGATCCAGAAAATAGAGTGGGTTTGGGATCCAATCTATCCTCATCTACATTATAACTAAAGTGGACTGCTCCTAGATTCTATTAGGCTTCCTTTTTCTCTGCCTCAGTAGATGTTAAAAGAACTTCTTTGAGGGCTGCTATCTATTCACTAGATTAAATCAGACACCCTCAGGCATCATTACATCATTAGTTGTTGCCTTTAGAAAGAAAGAAGAGAGACAAGGTCTGACTCTGTGGCCCAGGCTGGAGTGCAGTGGTGTGCTCATAGCTCACTGTAATCTCCAACTCCTGCAAGTGATCCTTCCACCTCAGCCTCCTGAGTAGCTAAGACTACAGGTGTATGCTTTTTTTTTCCTGTAGAGACAGGTCTTACTTCTTTTTCTATTTTCCTAAAGTAGAAGCTTAGATTGTTGATTTTAGATCTTTCTTCCTTTCTAATGTATGCATTGAATGCTATAAGTTTCCATGTGAGCAATGCTCTCGCTGCATACCACAAATTTTGATAAGTTGTAATTTCACCTTTTTTTTTTTTTTAATTAAAACAGAGTCTCGCTCTATTGCTCAGGTTGGAGTGCAGTGGCACAATCTCAGCTCACCCCAATCTTCGCCTCCCAGGTTCAAGCAATTTTCCCACCTCAGCCTCCCAAGTAGCTGGGATTACAGGCACCTGACACCACGGCCAGCTAATTTTTGTATTTTTACTAGAGGCAGGGTTTCACCATGTTGGCCAGGCTGGTTTCGAACTCCTGACCTCAGGTGATCCACCCACCTCAGCCTCCCAACATGCTGGGATTACAGGAATGAGCCACCATGCTTGGCCTCACCTTTATTTAATACAAAATACTTTTAAATTTCCCTTGAGATTTATTCTTTGACCCAAAGAATTTATAAATATTCTACCTAATCTCCAAGTACTTGGGGATTTTCCAGTTGTCTTTCTGTTACTGGTTTCTACTTTAATTCCATTGTGGTCTGAAAACATACATTGTATGATGTCTCTTAAAGTTGTTCAGGTGCGTTCTGTGGCCCAGAACATGATCTATCTTGGGGAATGTCTACATGATCTTCAGAGGAATGTGTGTTCTGAATGTGTGTGTATGAAGTAATCTATAGATGTGAATTATATTCAGTTTATTGATGGTGCCATTGATCTGAACTATATCCTTAATGATTTTCTGCCTGCTTGGTCTGCCCATTTTTCATAGAGGGGTGTTGAAGTCTATAACTATAATAATGGATTCATCTATTTCAACTTGCTGTCCTATAAGTATTTTGATATCTGTTATTAGGGACATACACATTAAGGATGGTCAAATCTTCTTGGAGAATTGACCCTTTTATCATTAGGTAATGCCCTCTGTTTATCCCTGATAAGTTTTATCACTCTGAAGTCTGCTCTGTCTGAAATTAATACAGCTACACTTGCTTTCTTTTGATTAGTGTTAGCGTGGTATATCTTTTTCTACTCCTTTGCTTTTAATCTATATGTATCTATATTTAAAGTAGGTTTTTATACACAACATACAGTGGCTCATGTTTTTAAATTCACTCTGACACTCTCTTTGTTTTAACTGGTGTATTTAGATTGTTGGCATCTAAAGTAATTGATTATTGACATAGTTGAATTAGTATCTACCATATTTGTTACTATTCTTAATTTGTTGCCCTGGCTCTTTATTCCTGTTTTTGTCTTCCAGTCTTTTTCTGCCTTTTGCAATTTTAATTGAGCATTTTGTGTGATTCTATCTTCTCTCCTTTCTTAGCATATTTATTATACTTCCTTTTAAACATTTTTTAGTGGTTGCCCTAGAGTTAATAATATATATTCACAATTAGCCTGTGCCTATTTTCAAGTAATATTATGCCACTTTGTATCTTATAATACCAAAGTATTCCTAATGTCTCTCTTTTATCTCCTGTATAATTACTATCATTCATTTCAAGTATTTATGAGTTATAATTATCAAATACATTGTTGCTATCATTATTTTTAACAAACCATTATCCGGTAGATCAATTAACAAAAATAAAGTTTTTATTTTATCTTTGCTTATTCCTTGTCTTCTTAGTTTCCTTATGTAGATATGAGTTTTTTTAAACCTATATCATTTTTCTTTTTTCTGAACTTCTTTTAACATTTCTTGAAAGGCAGGCCTATTAGTGACAAATTATCTCAATTTTTGTTTGTCTGAGAAAGTCTTTATTTCTCCTTTACTTTTGAAGGTTAATTTTGCAAAGTACAGAATTCTAGGTTGGTCGGTTTTTTCTCTCAACATGTTAAATATTTCACTCCACTCTTCTTGCTTGCGTTGCTTTTGATAAGAAGTTTGATGTCATTCTTATGTTTGTGTTCATTTTTTTTTCCTCCATCTGGCTTCTTTCAAGACTCTTTTTTATACCTTTGTTTTCCTGCAGTTTAAATAGTTTAAAAGTTGAGGTGTAGTCATTGTTGCTCTTTGATATGTAGTTTTTGTAACTATCATTTAAATTGTAGGCTGAGTATCTCTGTAAGAGTTTGGACTCTGTTTGGTGGTATATTCATTTCCACTACCCTGATCTCTAAAAGAACTCTAAGTGGGTGAAGCAATCTCATTAAGACTTACCAAGACAGAAACAAAATAATTTCTACACATAAAAATGAATATGGGCCAGGTGTGGAGGCCCATGCCTGTAATCCCAGCACTTTAGGAGGCCAAGGCGGGTGGATCATCTGAGGTCAGGAGTTCAAGACCAGCTTGTCCAACATGGTGAAACCCTGTCTCTACTAAAAATACAAAAAAAAATTAGCCGGGCGTGGTGGCAGGCACCTGTAATCCCAGCTACTCAGGAGGCTGAGGCAGAAGAATTGCTTGAACCCAGGAGGCAGAGGTTGCAGTGAGCTGAGATCATGCCTTTGCACTCCATTCTGGGCTACAAAGCGAGACTCCATCTCAAATAAATAAATAAATAAATAAAAATGAATATGAAATTTCTGCTTTCATTTCTGTTTTCTCAGGTTCTGTTTTATTCAGCATTATAAATACCTAAATCAAAATAACTTTTGGATAGTATTGATTTAGATAACATGATATCTAATTAAAGATTCCAATGTTTAAATTTTATACAGAAGGACATGTTATCCTTTGCAATATTAGCTCTTTCCTGGATCCACCTCATGATGAAAAGGTAAGAACTTCAGTTTTCCACTTTAATTTATGAGTCAGCATATATTTATTGAGCATTTCTCTGTGCTAGACACCATAAAGGATAGAAATACAAGACTCTCTGTTGTCAAGGCACATATACTATTGAAATTTGAGCTACATGACAAATTGCAGTGGTCTGCTGGTGAAAAGGGATCAAGAAGTAAGTGAGGGAGAGGGAGTAAGTATGCCAGCCACTGGTCACTTTGCATCGTCTTCATGTTTTGACTTATTTGTGAGAATTCATATAGCAACCCAGAGTTAGAAAAAGTTCATAGATTATACAGTCCTCCACAGTCAGTTTCTATATCTTATCCTTTATAAGATATTCCATAACCTTCCTTGCAAACCTAGTGCAGAACCATTTAAGAATTTTTTTCTTATTTCTAGTCTAAATTCTTCCTAACATTAAAGCACATTTTATTCTATTTTTTAAAATATTATACCAAGGAACAGCTATTTTAGCATAGCCCTATTTTTCTTTAACACATCAAATCAAAAGCTAAATATTAGCTTAAATAGATACTTTTTTTTGGATCACAAGTATTAACAAGGGGTTTATGTTGATTAGGATTTGATTCCTTGCAGAGTGTCTCAGAATAGTTATTGTTTCAAATATTGTTTCATTTGATTAGTGGAGTTTTCTTTTTGTTTCAGAGAATCTATTCTAACTCTTTTAAGGTTTCGGTATTCAACTTTAGTTTGACTATCTCCACCTGCAGAGGGTAAATCAGAGAATAGCTTGCCAAGGAGCACATAGACAGTGATGAAGTCAGGGCCAGGGTCGGGGTTCTGATTGCTAATCCAATACTCTTTCCGTATATAATACTTATGCTAACAAATGAAAAACAGCAAGGTTCAAACAACTTGAGAAACACGAAGTTTCATTTACCAGTAACTATAAATTGCTTGTAACGAAGACATGCTGCAAGCTGAACAAAAACAAACCGTATGCTTGAACCATATATAGGTGAAAAGTTATGTAATTGTTTTATCCTACTGCTGATGATTATTATATTGTATTATTAATTTTAACAGATAAAATGTCATTCAAAGCCTACAGTTTCGCAAATGGAATTGCTATAAACTAACAACTGAGATCTTTCAAACTTTAGAGAAAATCTTCAAAACAAAGTTATAGAATAATATTGAGTTACAAAATTAGTAGAAATAATTTTAAAGCATTTTCACAAATTTAAAATTAGAGAATCTTTAGTAACTTATTTTAAATTCTTTCATATTCAACTTCATTTCAACCTTTTCTGTACTCAGACAATGGAATCATACCATTTGTACATGGCTGCCTATTTATAAATATACAACAGAACCATAGAACCTGGCTATAAAATGCCTCATTATTACATAGATCAACAAATACCAATGCTTAAACCAGGTCCGGCTATAGATTACAACTGCAATGAATACCTAATAGGTCAGTCTAGAAAAAAAGGTTAATCTTGTTCTCTCCCGATATTACTGATAAAAAAGAAGTTCCATGGTATACAGACATTCTGAAAGATAAGTCGAAACCTCTCCACAGAAAGAGAGACCACACATATAATTACATATACACACATACAGAAAGGACAATCTTAGTTTCTAATTGCGGATTTCAATCCATTAAGGGGTCATGAAATCAATTAAATTAGTTGTAACCAGTATTTTTATAAAAATAGAAGAGAATGGAATGCAATGCAGTAGAACAGAATAGATCATATTGATGTACATTTCACATAGGTGAAGTATCCTTTTGTGAAACTTGTTTCAGACACATGTGCAAGTATATGTATATGTTCATGGAGTCATGAAGCAAAATGTATATCTTACTATAAATACAGTCAGTGTTAGAGAATGCCATCCTAAGGCAGAGAAAGAAACCTTGGATGACCAGATATTCTTGAATAGCTTTGAGACAATAAGAAGTAGGCCAGACACGGTGGCTCACGCCTGTAATCCCAGCACTTTGGGAGGCTGAGGCAGGCAGATCACGAGGTCAAGAAATTAAGACCATCCTGGCCAACATGGTGAAACCCCGTCTCTACTAAAAATACAAAAAAAATTAGCTGGGCGTGGCGGCACGTGCCGGTAGTCACAGCTACTCGGGAGGCTGAGGCAGGAGAATCACCTGAAGCCAGGAGGCAGAGGTTGCAGTGAGCCGAGATCGCGCCACCGCACTGCAGCCTGGCAACAGAGCGAGACTCTGTCTCAAAAGAAGAAAAAAGAACTAGGAGTCCAGATTTTACTTTGGCTCTCTAAAAATAACCAGAGGGAATTGAGTCAGAAGGCCAACAAATTTAGGCGGAATTGCGCCTACCCTTTGTTAAAGCCTAAATAAATAGAAGACTCGCAGGAGAACTCTAAACTGCCAGGACTGTCATCACATTACACTTCTAGGTAAATGACCCAGGACAAAGTAAGGTGTCAGTCCGGGTTTATCAGTGATAAAGAGGGAATATACTCACAGGGGGTGTGAGTGCAGAGCAAGCTCTCCACTTAACAACTCTAGTTCACACAATTCAGGAAGGTCTCCCGAGGCCCACGAGAGGCCCTAAACTTGAGGATAGCCACACCCTGAAGAAACATAAACAATGAAGCCTCATGATTTTTTTCTTTTCTACTCCTGTGACAGATGATTCATGATGTTTTTGAAAGAGAATGAAGCTGAGTTTTATTCTTTTCATCAACTACTTATAGCATGTATCTCCCACCCCATACTCCCCCCAAAAGAACAAAACAGCCAGTTCTATCTCTAGATAAAATCTGAACACAGGAAAAGTCTTTTTGCCAATCTCCCCTTTAGCTTTTACCTTCCAGCTCTGTTTCCTTCTATTCTTGATTATATTTACTTTCAGTCCCCCTCCAACCTTCTCCTAAAGCATCTCTTTCCTCTAGTCATCTGCTAATCATCAATTAAATGAATCGCTAATTCTCAGTTACATGATAAATTGCCAGAGACATAAGATACTTCCTCTCCCAGGGAGATGTATGAATTAATAAGTCTTTAAAAACAGGACTTCTTGTACCCCAACAAGCAAGAGAAGAGCTAATTGGGGGCAAGGACTTAATCATCTAGCACAGATGTCTACATCTTCCACTCATAAGCTTGGCTCAATGAGAAATGATTTTGTTGAAGATTACATTTTTACTAGCATATAGTTATTCCGAGGAATATGCCTTGTTTTTGCTATCTAGAAATTCAAGCAGCTGCTTTCCTGGCGTGCTCATTCTTTGGAAATTATTCAAGTAATCTATGTAGAAGAAAAACAAGTGGTACTTACTGCCTCCATCGATGGCTCAGTAAGGTAGGCCAAGATGGCATCATACTGTGAATTCAGTACTGTGAGCATGAGAGGTAAAGGATTTTAAGCTAAAGTTGAAGTATATAGTTCAAATGCAATCTTGGTAAACTGATTTAAATAAATAAGTAAATAGATGACACAAAAGGACTTTGAAAAGATGGCCACTGATTTGGAGTTCTCTTTCATGACCAAGGACATGAGATGTCACATTCATCTATATTAAAAGGTATCACAAATGCTTTTGATAAAAGTGAAGTTTTTTTTGTAGAATTACTTCAAAGAATTAAGCAAGATAGCTATCTCGGAGAGTTAGACCCAAGTCATAGAGGGGGGCTCAGAATCAGAAGTCATAGAAAAGTAATAGAAAAGAGCAATTGATGCTGAGAAAAGTGGGTAAGCTAATTATGTCATTGACTCTGTGATGGATTTTGCAAAGCCTATTGTTATCAATTACCTAGATAATGCTAAGTACCTATACACAAAATGCTAAAGACACATACACATATAAAGAGAAAGAAAGGAAATGTCATGGCATTTCTAGAAACAAATTTCTGCATATTGAAATGTCTTAAAATCATGGTAATGAATTATCCGCTTAAAAGAATGAAGTTAGGTAAGATTAAGAGAGGTAGAGAGGCTTTGAAGTATATTAGGGAATTTCAATGGAATCAAAACCAAAAGGAAGGAATATTTTATGCTGCATAAAAGTTGCTGGACTGAAATTCAAGACAGCCTAGCTAACTGTGTGGGCTTGAGGCTAGTGAGTTAGACAGACCAAAGCCACACAGTGTCCAGGAGGCACTGGTAAGAATTTGGATCCTTCCCCTGAAAGAAATAGCCACTGCACAGAATTTTACGTGGGGGAGTAATATGACCTGATTTATATTTTTGGAAGGTAATGGGTGGGGAATAGATTGCAGGGCAGCAAAAGTGGGAGCAAAGAGACCGGTTTGAAGTCCAGGGTGAATGTAGTGGCTTGGATTAGAGGAGTGGTAACAGCCTGGAAATAAGTGGTTTAGATTTGATGATAGCTATCCAGAAGGCAAAATCAAGAAGACGTGAACTTTAACTCAAAGGGGAGGTAAGTGATAAATGTCAAGAATGACACCTGGTTTATGCAACTAGGTGAATGTTAGAACCACTCATTAAGATACAGGGCTCTAAAAGAGGAAAATGTTTAGAATGTGGAAGGATAAAGAGCTTTAGAACGTTGAATTCAAGATGAATCTTTGGGAGTAAGGTCCTATTTGGAGGCAAAAGGTCAGAGTTACTTCCTCTGTAAGAAAGGACATCTGGGCTGGGTGTGGTGGCTCACGCCTGTAATCCCAGCACTTTGGGAGGCCGAGGCGGGTGGATCACGAGGTCAGGAGTTGGAGACCAGCCTAACCAACATGGTGAAACCCTGTCTCTACTGCGAATACAAAAATTAGCCGGGCGTGGTGGCATGAGCCTGTAATCCCAGCTACTTGGGAGGCTGAGGCAAAAGAATCACTTGAACCTGGGAGGCGGAGATTGTAGTGAGCCGAGATCACGCCACTGCACTCCAGCCTGGGCGACAGAGTGAGACTCTGTCTGAAAAAAAAAAAAAAAAAAAAAAAGAAAGGACATCTGCTGTTTTATTTGCAGGAAAGAGTAAGAACATTAAATGTCATTATTATAGATGTTTTTAACAACTCAGTCCCTTGGTCTCTGCTCCAGCTTATTTTCAGCTACCTATGAGCAGAAGTGTTCATTTGAGTTTGTAACACACACACAGACGCACACACATGGCACAACCACATATGTACATGCCACTGTTGTTGTAAGGTATTCCTTGCTTGTCTTGGTCTGTTCAGGCAGCTGTAACAAAATACCTTAGACTGGGTAATTTATAAACAACAGAAATTTATTGCTCACTGTTCTGAAGTCTGGGATGTGCAAGATCAAGGCGCTGGCAGATTCAGCGTCTACTGAGGTCTTGCTCTCTGCTTCATAAATGATGCCCTCTAGCTGTGTCCTTACATGGTGAAAGAGGCAAACAAGCTCCCTCGGGCCTCTTTTTAAAAGACACTAATTCCATTCATGAAGACTGAGCCCTTGTGACCTAAGCATGTCCCATTTCACATCAATATCACCACTTCGGGGATTAAGTTTCAACATATGAATTTGGCAGGTGGACAAAAACATTCACGCCATAGCACTGCTCACTCCAGTTATCCTTGGCATGGAGAAATTAATTTTATGATTTCTTACAGTGAAAATCTCCCTAGATACTCAGTTCAAAGTGCTTACATCTATTAATAGCTACCTCAGAACACAACTGTCTTCATAACCAAGCCATGTCCCTTTGCTAATACTCACTGCCACTCTCTAAAGAGTTAGGCAGTTTCAACGTTCTAAATCTTGCTTGTCAAAAAGATGAGATTTTTAAATATGAAACAAACATAATTGAGGCTGAACTCTGGGATGCAGGACAGGTGATCAGTCTGTAGACAGAAGTTCAGGGAGGCAAAGTGGGGCTCAAGGTAGCTAAGGTTCTGTATCTGAGGCCCAGGAAATCAAGCTGGGAAGCAGGATTAGTTATTTGGGAGAGCTCCATGCATAGCAGGAAACAAGGAGACTACAGTCTCTTCAGTCCTGCCTAAAGCAGAATAAATTTAGAATTGTTCCGAAGTTAGCCCCTCACCCTTCTAAATTTTACTATTAAAGGGCTGGTCTATTTCTCTTTGGTAAAGGTTCTGGCCAGGCCATGACATTTTTATAATGCTGGAGAATTAATACATGGAAGGGATAGAAGATGCTCATGTTAATTCCCCAGGACACTGTCAAGTGGGAGAAGTCCCAAATAGATACCTCTGTTTCTGCCTCCTTCTCAACATCTACCTCTCTGAGGTGGGAGGCTATTCAGACTTTGCAGAATCTACTCTTAGTTTCTTTAGCTTGCTTGCCCTCCTCCTTTTAGGTCATTGCTGCAGGGCTCATGATGATGATTGCCATCATTTGCCACTCTGAGGTTGAAATCAATAAATAAAAGGAAGATCTTCCAAATACTATTTTATGTTCCCATATGGCCTAGGGCACACACTCCTGCTAATAATACTCTGTATTACTTTAAACCACATGGGCTATTTAGAGGGACCTCTTGGAGTGAAGTGATAGTGAAACAAGGCATATGGATAACGAGTCCCTTCTCTTGCCATCCTCTTTCAGAACTCAGTTGTAAAAATTAGCAGGGTATTTGCACAATAGTAGCAGCTGTGGATGGAGGTTGAGGAGAATTTGATAATAGTAAAAGCAGCATGAGATCCCTCCTCCCTTAAGTTTGGTTGATGCTGATTTGAAAAGTAGCCAGCTGAGATACAGCCCATTCTAAGGCCTAATTCAATGAATACACTGTTAGTTAACAAGTGTTCTGATTAGCTTGAACGGGCAGTGTTATTTTCCCAAAAGAAAATAGAAAGAAAGCAAATGTGGTATACACACAACATGGAATACTAAGCAGCCATAAAAAAGAACAAGATCATGTCTCTTGCAGGGACATGGATGGAGCTAGAGGCCATTACCCTTAGCAACCAAATGCAGTTTTATTATCCTGAAATAACACTGCCCATTTGTTTTCTGGCTTTGACAAATGGGTGTCATAAGTACAGATTCAAACTAATATTTCCCAAAAAGTTTGCAGACTACAGTCTAACTGATAAAAATGTTGGCTGGAGGCCAGGCACGGTGGCTCACACCTGTAATCCCAGCACTTTGGGAGCCCGAGGCGGGTGGATCACGAGGTCAGGAGATTGAGACCATCCTGGCTAACACGGTGAAACCCCATCTCTACTAAAAATACAAAAAAAAAAAAAAAAGTAGCTGGGCATGGTGGTGGACGCCTGTAGTCCCAGCTACTCGGGAGGCTGAGGCAGGAGAATGGCATGAACCCAGGAGGCGGAGCTTGCAGTGAGCCGAGATGGCACCACTGCACTACAGCCTGGGCGACAGAGCGAGACTCCTCAAAAAAAAAAAAAAAAAATGTTGGCCGGACATGGTGGCTCATGCCTATAATCCCAGCAGTTTGGGAGGCCAAGGCGGGCAGATCACATAAGGTCAGGAGTTCAAGACCAGCCTGGCCAAAGTGGTGAAACCCCGTCTCTACTAAAAATACAAGAATTAGCCAAGTATGGTGGTGGGCTTCTGTAATCTCAGCTACTCGGGAAGCTGAGGCAGGAGAATCACTTGAACCTAGGAGGCAGAGGTTGCAGTGAGTCGAGATCATGCCATTGCACTCTAGCCTGGGCAACAAGAGCAAAACTCCATCTCAAAAAAAAAAAAAAAAAGTTTACATTATGATTAGCTCCACAGTATTTCATAGAAAGGGTCTTGAACCCAAGTAAAAAAATCCTTGATGGACCAGCGCTAATTTACATAAACGATCTAATGAACAGAATAACTTTGACCAAATTTTCCAGTTACTTTTTCCTCCCTTCCTTTTCCTTCCCTCAGGCTCTGGCATGCCCTCAATGGACATTATTGTGGATATTTTGGACAGCGAAGGCTCTTTGAATTATCACAGACAAGAGATTTCATTTTGCCTTGTGATGTTACTGAATATCCCATAGAAATAAAAGAAGAAAGCAAGTTCACAGAGAAGCAAAAATATGAATATCCTCTGATATTTGACCGGGAAAAGTAAGACCATTAGCTCTTCTTTAGATAAGCATACAAGAATCAAACTGTTGAGATGCTGTGGCACTGTCCTTGAGATGGAGAATTCAAGGCAAGAGGTCCAGAACTTTTCAATAATTTTGTAATCCAGTGGAAGGGAAATGTATGTAAACAAAGCTATAATTGGTAGTACTTCTGGGAACATCTGATTCTTAAGACAGTAACAGAAGGGCAAATAGGATTTAACCAAAGAAGACCAAAGGTGCAATAACTTGTTAGTGGGGGAAATTTGACCATGCTTAAAGGCATAGGGGAGGAAGGATAGAGTACAGAATGTGAGAGAGAAGCTATTTTCCACTTTTACAATCTTCAATCCTGGTTTTAGACATCCTTTGTCATAATGGAAAAGATCAGTACTCTTGAGTTTTCAATATCAGTGCAGCTCAACCCTAGATGGTGAATGTCAAAATGTCCAGCCTTCAGGGGACCAGACCTGCCTGGACTGGTTACATCTCACAGACCAGCACTAAGGGAGCCACGGAAGATGAGTCCAAATGGAAAGAATCAGAGAGGGATATCAAAAGTAAAGTCCTTCAGGGAAATCCCAAGTGCACTCAAGGCTGGAAAGACCCAATGTCATTACCTAATTCAAAAGATGGTAGAAGGGTTCTAAATAGGAATTGAAGCTAAAAATCAGAAGCCACACAGGATTTGGATCAAAGCAGGAACAATTTGAAAACAATCAAGAAGGGTTCCAGGTGACCCCATCAGAGTGTTCAAGGACTACTTTGGCTGGCCAGTAAGGAGCACTGGAGAAGAGGCTGGCTGAGATGGAAGAGGTGGTGTAGTAAGCCAAGCTTCAAGATGCAGTAAAGTTTACCAAGCAAAGTTTCTCAGTTTTACTTTGGGCAATTGCTTAGCCTTGAATGTTCATATATCCTAGTACTTAAGACAGGATTCTAATTTGTCCATATGCATCTTCTTCTCTATACTGTGAGTTCCTTGAAGACCAGGACCTTGTTTTATACATCTTTGTATAAAACAGTTCATAGCTCAGTGCTCACCACACAGCAGGCACTCAAAAGATATTTATGGAACTAATAAAGAATGACTAATGGAGAATATCACAAGCAGAGGGAGCAGATGTGAATGGTAGACACAGAAGCATGAAAGGGCATGGTACATACAGGACAGCTTTAGCGTAGGACACGTGCTCATGTTATGTTGTTATTGCTCAATAATTATGGCTTATCTGTAGCAAAATGGGCCTTCTTCTGTAGAATGACTTCATCTCAGGACATAGTATTTCTTGTCTTTTGAAAATGTTAAACAGAAATATCATTCAACCCAGCAATCTCATTACTTGGTATGTATCCAAAGGAATATAAATCATTCTACTAAAAAGATACATGCATGTGTATGTTCATTGCAGCACTATTCACAATAGCAAAGACATGGAATCAACCTAGGTATGCATCAGTGGTAGACTGGATAAAGAAAGTGTGGTACATATACACCACGAAATACTATGCACCCATAAAAAAGAATGAGATCATATCCTTTGCAGGAACATGAATGGAGCTGGAGGCTATTATCCTTAGCAAACTAATGCAGGAACAGAAAACCTAATACTGCATGTTCTCACTTATAAGTGGGAGCTAAATGATGAGAACAAGTGGACACACAGAGGGGAACAACATACACTACACTGGGGCCTACTTGAGGGTGGAGGGTGGGAGGAGGGAGAGGATCAGGAAAAATAATTAATGGGTACTAGACTTAATACCTGGGTGATGAAATATCTGTGTAACAAACCCCCATGACACAAGTTTACCGAAATAACAAACCTGCACATGTACCACTGAACTTAAATAAAAGTTAAAAAAAATAGTTATGACTTTCTAAATATATACATAATTAAGTTTTGACTATAAGGGAAGCCTCCTTGAATCATATGGAAGTCAAGCACTGGTCTTGTAAAAGCGGTTTCCTAGTTCCTAATATAGAGTTTCCCCTCCCACTCCCCAAGGGCTATTAGTGAATTTAAATACATGAAATGGCCGGTCATGGTGGCTCAGGCCTGTAATCCCAGCACTTTAGGAGGCTGAGGCAGGCAGATCACTTGAGGTCAGGAGTTCGAGACCAGCCTGGCCAACATGGCGAAACCCCATC